>NC_000001.11:248002303-248153818 GCF_000001405.40 Homo sapiens
GAATTCTGTGTCATTAAGCACATATACTGTTGTGCAGCCATCACTACCATGCACCTATCTCCAAAACAATTTCATTGTCTCCAACTAATACTTTGGCTCCAGCATACCACTTTCCCTCTCTGTGAATTTCACTACAGTGGGTACTTCATGTAAGTGAATTCATGCAATATTTGTCTTTCTGTGACAGGCTTATTTCACTTAGCATAATGTATTCAAGCTTCATCCATGTTGTAGCATGTGTCAAAATTTCTTCGCTTTTAAAAACTGTATACAGGCCAGGCGCAGTGGCTCACGCCTGTAATCCCAGCACTTTGGGAGGCCCAGGTGGGAGGATCACGAGGTCAGGAGATCAAGACCATCCTGTGTAACACGGTGAAACCCCGTCTCTACCAAAAATACAAGAATTTAGCCAGGCGTGGTGGCGGGCGCCTGTAGTCCCAGCTACTCGGGAGGCTGAGGCAGGAGAATGGCGGGAACCCGGGAGGCAGAGCTTGCAGTGAGCCGAGATCGCACCACTGCACTCCAGCCTGGGCGAAGCGAGACTCCAGCTCAAAAAAAAAAAAAAGAGTTATGGTGGATTCCCCCCTTTTCAATTGTTTGGAACTGTTTCAGAAGAAATTGTACCAGCTCCACTTTGGACCTCTGATAGAATTCAGCTATAATCCATCTGGACCTGGGCCTTTTCTTTGGTTGGTAGGCTATTTATTATAGCCTCAATTTCAGAACTTGTTATTGGTCTATTCAGGGATTGAAATTCTGCGGATAAGGATGAATTTCTGTCTTAACTTACTCGTGTCTCCCTTCCGGATGGATTGTAGGAATGCCCCATGGAAAATTGCAATCAAACATCAACTGATTTCATCTTACTGGGGCTGTTCCCACCATCAAGAATTGGCCTTTTCCTCTTCATCCTCATTGTTTTCATTTTCCTAATGGCTCTAATTGGAAACCTATCCATGATTCTTCTCATCTTCTTGGACACTCATCTCCACACACCCATGTGTTTCCTACTTAGTCAGCTCTCCCTCATTGACCTAAATTACATCTCCACCATTGTTCCTAAGATGGCATCTGATTTTCTGCATGGAAACAAGTCTATCTCCTTCACTGGGTGTGGGATTCAGAGTTTCTTCTTCACGACTTTAGCCGTTGTAGAAGCGCTACTCCTGATATCAATGGCCTATGTTCGTTGCATTGCTATTTGCTTTCCTCTCCACTATCTCATCCGCATGAGCAAAAGAGTGTGTGTGCTGATGATAACAGGATCTTGGATCATAGGCTCGATCAATGCTTGTGCTCACACTGTATATATACTCCATATTCCTTATTGCCCATCTAGGGTTATCAATCATTTCTTCTGTGATGTCCCAGCAATGGTGACTCTGGCCTGCATGGACACCTGGGTCTATGAGGGCACAGTGCTTTTGAGTGCCACCATCTTTCTCGTGTTTCCCTTCATTGCTATTTCATGTTCCTATGGCCGGGTTCTCCTTGCTGTCTACCACATGAAATCTGCAGAAGGGAAGAAGAAGGCCTACCTGACCTGCAGCACCCACCTCACTGTAGTAACTTTCTACTATACACCTTTTGTCTACACCTATCTACGTCCAAGATCCCTGTAATCTCCAACAGAGGACAAGGTTCTGGCTGTCTTCTACACCACCCTCACCCCAATGCTCAACCCCATCATCTATAGCCTGAGGAACAAGGAGGTGATGGGGGCCCTGACACGAGTGAGTCAGAGAATCTGCTCTGTGAAAATGTAGAAACACTTTCTGCCTAAGGTTTCAGGACTCAGATACACATCCATTCAGCAGTGTATAGTAATTAAAATATCATTTCATTCCTAGAGTTCAGGAGCAAAAAGTAATCAACAGAAGAAAAAAAAATCACTGATTTCTGGACAAAATTGTTTTACAAAGATGTATATAATTCTAAACAACCTTTTTCTTCATGGCATTTATCCCATAAATTTTGAAAGCACATACTTTTGCCAAAATATTGTCAATGAGAATGTTTGTTTTTAGTTATGCAGAAATGGAAATGAAATTTGTCTAACCAAAGTTGGCACTTAGTATAACAATTCTATTATTGTCAATTTATTTTCCAGTAATTTTAAATTTACATTTTTGTTTATGTCTAAAACAAAAAAATATCTCTTGACTTGGTGGATCCAATTGAAAACTGTAAAATGTCTTTCTTATTTAGACACTTAACGTACCAGTTACTGTTTCTTTCAACTTAGGGAAGTTATTTTTACACAATTTAGCAGAGAGCTCGTCAGGGATTCTTAAGTCCTGATACCACGCTGGATGGCCTATGACAAGTTTATGTGTTTTATAGGGGAATGAATCCCAGGAAATGATTGAACATCAGGTATATTTTAGGTCAACAACAAGGACTGGAATGTGCCAGCAGTAATAAAAATGATTACATTTAGTTCTTTAACCCATTTTGAGTTGATTTTGGTATGGTATAAGAATTGGGAGTTTAGTTTCATTTTTCTGCTTAAAAATATCCAGTTTTCCCTGCACAGTGTATTGAAGACACTGTCTTTTTCCCAGTGAACATTCTTGGGTCTGTTGTCAAAAATCAGTTGACTGCACCAGGCACAGAAAGATTCTGCATGTTCTCACTCATCTGTGGGAGCTAAAATTTTTAAAAATGGAACCAGTGGAAATAGAGAATAGACTGATGGTCACCAGAGGGTGGGAAGGGTGCAGGGGAGGGGTGATAAAGTGGGGATGGTTAACAGTTGCAAAAATATAATTAGATATAATGAATAAGAGCCAGTAATTGGTAGCACAACAGAGTGACTATAGTAAACAATAATTTATTGTAGAATTTATTGTATATCTTCAAGAATAACTCAAAGTGTGGAATTGGAATGTTCTCAACACAAAGAAATAATGCATATTTCAGGTGATGGTTACCCCAATTACCCAAATTTGATCATTACACATTGTATGCCTTTATCAAAACATCACATACCCTCCATAATTATATATTACTATTATAGTAATTAAAAATAAAAAAATTAAATCAGTTAACTGTAGATGGGTGGATTTATTTCTGGGTTCTCTGTTCTGTTTCATTGTTCTATGTGTCTTTTTTATGCCAGTACCATTCTGTTTTGGTTATTCCATGTTTGTAGTATAGTTTGAAGTTTGGTACTTTTATGCCTCCAGGTTTGTTCTTTTTGTTCAAGATTGCTTTGACTATTTGGGGTCTTTTATAGTTCCATACGAATCGTAGAATGGTTTTTACTATTTATGTGCAGAATGTCATTGGTATTTTGATAGACATTGCATTGAATCTGTAGTTTGGTTATTTAAATAATATTAATTATTCAATCCATGAGCATTGGATGTTTTCCCATTTGTTTGTATTCCTCTTCATTTTCTTTTACCAGTGTTTTGTACAAATCATTCTAGTGTTCTCTTCCATGTCTACAGTTAACAGTAAAGTATTACGGTAAAAATTATTTCAATGCTTTTGAAATGTCATTTCTATTTCTAAGCCTGTGGATATTTGTTTTACAATGTCGTAGCAGTTAAAACATACATTTTGAACTTGTTTTATGAATCAGAGTAAGTCTTTGTTGTGCTTTGTTGCAATGAGCAGCGTATATTTTTATTTGGTGATGATTTACTAACAAAGTTTACTGCCTAAACTTCTTGCCATTTCCTGTCCTGAACTCAGTCAGATACGTCATATTCCATGAATACAACAGAGATGGGCTCTGGAGCAGAGGGAAAATAGGCCTCCCATCAGCAGTCACTTGCTACTGCCAGGGAGAGCACCTCCTCTCTTCCCCGTTAGGGACAATTGTACCCAACTGCCACCTGTGCCACTGCTTCTATCATTACTACCAATCTGAGCCCAGTCATACCCCAGCCACTGCTTGGGGTCCTGTGGTACTGTGAAATATTGCAAGATATGTGTGTGTGTGTGTGTGTGTGTGTGTGTGTGTGTGTGTGTGTTTGTGTGCATAAGAACGCCAGGCCAGTTGTCTCATGTGGGTGTTGCCTGAGCCCACTTGTGTAGTCACTGCTACTGAACCAAAACTGCATGCATTCTGCCAACCTCTCCAGTTCCTCTGTCACAAGCATGCTTAAAGATGAAATGATTGAAACTTCCAATGATAACAGCAGAGCATGAAACCATGCATGGAGCCCTTTGAGTGTGGGACCCTGTGCATAGGTCCATGAAACCAATCCCGAGAAGGATGGGAAGAGTGAACATGAAGTGAATGAGATCATGCAGCCTAGGATAGTGGTGGGAATGCGTGATGGTCTGAGTGTTTGTATACTCCCCAAATCCATATGCTTAAATCTTAACCCTCAATGTGATAATATTAGGAGTTGGGGCCTTTTGGGAAATGACTAGGTCATGAGGGTAGCACCCTCTTGAGTAAGATTTGTGCCTTTCTAAAGAAGGCTTGAGAGAGCTTGTTTGTGCCTTCTACCATGTGAGGTCACAGCAGACAGTACCAACTATGGTGTCATACAAGCTACCATCTATGAACCAGAAAGCAACCTTTCTCCAGACACTGAATCTTCAGTCACTTCGTCTTAAATTTCACAGGTTCCACAACTCTGAGAAACACATTTCTCTTGTTTATAGGTTACCCCATTTAAGATACATTTGTCATAGCAGCTTGAATACACTAAGATGGAATGTCTACTGTTTTTGTTATTTATTATTATTGGAAAGAACCTGAGGGAGGACTGAAATAAGCAGTGGTGCTCAGTTCAGACCCTTTACCCTTTCAGGTAGTGATTCATGGAGGGAATCAGTAGACTTAGCTCTATGATTTTCTGTGATGTACCATGGCCTCGGGGAAATCATTCCATCTCTCTGAAGTTAGTTGACTGAAAAACAATATGGATGCCTTGTACCTTATCAGTAAATGGCATCATTGAAATCACTCCTACTGACATTCCTGTATAGGCAATGGTGATCCTATTTTTCATGCCAATGACTCTGGCAGTGGAGATAAAGAGGTCATCAGTGAATATTGAGCCTTCCAAGGCTATCATAAATGACACTTCAAAAGTCTTTTATGCCAGTAGGCTCTGGCTCAGGAAAGCAATAAGCTAGTCCCCTCTGACGTGGTGTCTGCACTCAAGAGGCCACTCCTTTCCCCTTATGGTCATTAAGAAGAACAACATAAAAAGAAGTCAAATTATTCAAATCTACTGTCATTTGCTACATTGTTTATGAGAATATACACAAGATAATTTTGAAAGTTGGGCAATAATTCCCCTTGGTGGGGAAGTTAATGAATTCATTACCTCACAGAGTTCTTGGCTAATTTTTAAGTTATGCCTCTTCCTCGTTTTAGCCATTTTTCTTTCCATCCAAATGTTATGCTGTAGTTATTATTTTGCACTTCACAGTCGTTCTTTAATTATTTCCTGTCTTTGGAACAGAAGATGCAAATTTTATAGAACATGGTATCTATCTGGATTTCATAACATACACTGTGTGCATTTAGAAATTTCTTATGTATTCCATTAGCAAAGTTTGATTTTTGGAAAAGGACATGAGTACTCTTTCTATTTTGAAGGATGAGTATATTTCTCGTTAGAACAAGTTGTGGTTCAGTAGTGAAATAATTAAAGTAAAGGAATGAGTGGTGTACCATCCACAAATATGCTGACTCAGCATATTTATTAGTTTGAGCTGAAAACATTGGAGAAATTTTGGTTAACATTAGAAGAAAAGGTTACCTAAGCTGTCTTTTTCTGCATGCAGCAAGCTATAAAGATTCCTCCAGGACTCTTTGGTACATTCTTATACTTTTCTGGTACCCTCCCTGTATCACAATAGAAAATAGCACTTACAACCAGAGCCTGGGAATTGGAAGAATGCAGTTGACCTGAATAAATAAACTTTAAGAATTAACCCTTATTTTCCACTAGCTTTACACCCCCATATACCTCCTAGTGACACCCCTAGAATTAATGGCTTCAAGCCAGTTTCTCTATTCTTTGATTTTTTCTATAATTTATCATTCTTTGTCTAAAAGTATAAAAATATCTTGCATTGACCATTTATTTGGACTTCATACTCTTGTGAAGAGTCACATGTACATGTAATATTAATACAGCTTATGTGTTTTTTTCTCATTAATCTGTGTTGTATCAATTTGTTTCCTAGACCTGGGCAAAAAGCTCACATAGGAGATAAAGTGAGTGATCTCTCATGTTTCTACAGAAGTAACAATTAACTTCCTTTTGTACTTACAAAGAGGCTTAGACTCCCACACAATAATAGTGGGAGACTTTAACACCCCACTGTCAATATTAGAGAGATCACTGAGACAGAAAATTAACAAGAATATTCAGGACTTTAACTCAGCTCTGGACCAAGCAAATCTAATAGGCATTTACAGAACTATTCACCCCAAATCAATAGAATATACATTCTTCTTAGCAATACATTGCACTTATTCTAAAATTGACCACATAATTGGAATTCAAACACTCCTCAGCAAATGCAAAAGATTGGAAATCATAACAAACAGTCCCTCAGACCACAGTGCAATCAAATTAGAACTCAGGACTAAGAAACTCACTCAAAACCACACAACTACATGGAAACTGAACAACCTGCTCCTGAATGACTATTGGGTAAATAATGAAATTAAAGCAGAAATAAATAAGTTGCTTGAAGCCAATGAGAACAAAGACACAATGTATCAGAATCTCTGGGACACAGCTAAAGCAGTGGTTAGAGGAAAATTTATAGCACTAAATGCCCACATCAGAAAGCGGGAAAAATCTAAAACAGACACACTAACATCACAATTAAAAGAAAAAGAGAAGCAAACCCAAACAAATTCAAAAGCTAGCAAAAGACAAGAAATAACTAAGATCAGAGGAGATAGAGACTCAAAAAATCCTTCAAAAAATCAATGAATCCAGGAGCTGGTTTTTTGAAAAGGTTAACAAAATAGACCACTAGTCAGATTAATAAAGAAGAAAAGAGAGAAGAATAAAATAGACACAATAAAAAATGATAAAGGGGATATCACCACTGATCCCACAGAAACACCGACTATCATCAGAGAATACTATAAAGACCTCTACACAAATAAACTAGAAAATCTAGAAGAAATGGGCAAATTCCTGGACATATACACCCTCTGAAGTCTAAACCAGGAAGAAGTCAAATCCCTGAACAAAACAATAACAAGTTCTGAAATTGAGGCAGTAATTAATAGCCTTATAACCAAAAAAAGCCCAGGATCAGATGGATTCACAGCCGAATTCTACCAAAGGTACAAAGCAGAGCTGGAATCATTCCTTCTGAAACAGTTTCAGACAATTGAAAAAGAGGGACCCCTCCCTTTTATGAGGACAGCATCTCCCCAACACCAAAACCTGTCAGAGACAAAACAGAAAAAGAAAATTTCAGGCCAATATTCTTGATGAATGTAGATGCAAAAATCCTCAATAAAATACTGGCAAACCAAATCCAACAGCATATCACAAAACTTATCCACCACCATCAAGTTGGATTCACCCCTGGAATGCAAGGATGGTTCAACATAAGCAAATCAATAAATGTAATGCATCGCATAAACAGAACTAATGACAAAACCATATGATTATTTCAATAGATGCGGAAAAGACCTTCAATAAAATTCAACACTCCTGCATGCTAAAAACTCTCAATAAGCTAGGTGTTCACAGAACGTATCTCAAAATAATAAGAGCTATTCATGACAAACCCACAACCAATACAATACTGAATGGGCAAAAGCTGGAAGCATTCCCTATGAAAACCAGCACAAGATAAGGATGCCCTCTCTCACCACTCCTATTCTGCATAGTATTGGAAGTAGTGGCCAAGGCAATCAGGCAGGAGAAAGAAATAAAGGGTATTCAAATAGGAAGAGAGGAAGTAAAATTATCTCTCTTTGCAGATGACATGATTGCATATTTAGGGAACCGCATAGTCTCAGCCCAAAATCTTCTGTTTGTTATGATTTCCGTTTTTTGCATTTGCTGAGGAGTGTTTTACTTCCAATTATGTTGGGTCAGTTTAAGAAGAAGTCAATGCAGTGCTGAGAAGAATGTATATTCTGTTGATTTGGGGTGGAGAGTACTGTAGATTTCTATTAGGTTGGCTTGGTGCAGAGCTGAGCTCTAGTCCTAAATATCCTTGTGAATTTTCTGTCTCATTGCTCTCTCTAATATTGACAATGGGGTGTTAAAGTCTCCCATTATTATTGTGTGGGAGTCTAAGTCTCTTTGTAGGTCTCTAAGAACTTGCTTTATGAATCTGGGTGCTCCTGTATTGGGTGCATATATATTTAGAATAGTTAGCTCTTCTTGTTGTATTGATCCCTTTACCACTATGTAATGCCCTTCTTTGTCTCTTTTGATCTTTGTTGGTTTAAAGTCTGTTTTATCAGAGACTAAGATTGCAAATACTGCTTTGTTGTTGTTTTTTTTTTTTTTTTTTTTTTTTGCTTTCCATTTGCTTAGTAAATCTTCCTCCATCCCTTTATTTTGAGTCTATGTGTGTCTTTGCATGTGAGATGGGTCTCCTGAATACAGCACACCAATAGGTCTTGACTCTTTATCCAATTTGCCAGCCTATGTCTTTGAATTGGGATATTTAGCCCATTTACATTTAAGGTTAATATTGCTATGTGTGAATTTGATCCTGTCATTATGATGCTATTTGGTTACTTTGTCCGTTAGTTGATGCAGTTTCTTCATAGTGTCGATGGTCTTTACAATTTGGTATGTTTTTGCAGTGGCTGGTACCCGTTGTTTCATTCCATGTTTAGTGCTTCCTTCAGGAGCTCTTGTAAGGTAGGCCTGGTGGTGACAAAATCTCTTAGCATTTGCTTGTCTGTAAAGGATTTTATTTCTCCTTCATGTATGAAGCTTAGTTTGGCTGGATATGAAATTATGTTTTGAAAATTCTTTTCTTTAAGGTTGAATATTGGCTCCCATTCTCTTCTCGCTTATAGGGTTTCTGTAGAGAGATCCACTGTTAATTTTGATGGTCTTCCCTTTGTGGGTAAACCAGTCTTTCTCTCTGGCTGCTGTTATCATTTTTCCTTCAGTTTAACCTTGGTGAATCTGACAATTATGTGTTGTAGGGTTGCTCTTCTCGAGGAGTATCTTTGTGGTGTTCTCTGTATTTCCTGAATTTGAATGTTGGTCTGTCTTGATAGGTTGGGGAAGTTCTCCTGGATAATATCCTGAAATGTGTTTTCCAGCTTGGTTCCATTCTCCCCATCATTTTCAGGTATACCAATCAAATGTAGGTTTGGTCTTTTCTCATAGTCCTATATTTCTTGGAGGCTATGATCTTTATAGTAAGAGGACATAAAACCCATTTTCTTAGCAAATTTTCAATATATAATGCAGTATTATTAACCATTAGCTATCAAGACTTATTCAACCCTTTCTCTGCTGCAATTTCTGCTGTTTTGGCATTTTGGTCTGTTACCACTCCATGGGCAATTGAACCCTGTGGGTGGGCCTGTATCAATCCTCCTGCCCTCAGTATCTCTGTAGGTGGAATGACAGGCCTGTACCACTGTGTCCTGCTCTTTTACAAAAGACTTGACATAAATGGTTATCACCTGAGTCTTGTATCTTTGGGAGATAGAATGGGCTTACTTTTTAAGTAAATATTATTATGCATTTAATATCTATGTGATTTAATGGATAATTCAAATGGACTGAAAGTAGACATTTAAAAATATAAACCAAACAGCTCAGTTTTATTTATGTTCCTTATTCTAATCACTTCTTCCAGAATAAATCAAGTTGTGAACTACTTTATGCTTGCTTTTGTGGTTTCTGCTGAGAAAGTGTGAAATACTCCATTTCTACTTCCAGACCATTCTCAGGGAGAACAGGGGTATTTCAGGGTTCCCTTCTTCTCTGGATTTGTTGGGTAGGAGATGTAAGGGACTGCCACAGTGCTTCTCTGACACAGGCCACCCTGCCACAATCCTGGTGGTCCCCTGAAGATGATTCTGTCCTGAGATCCAGACGGCAGACTTCCTTTGTTTCATATGCCCAAGTCCATGTTAGTTTCTGTCTCATATCCCCCACATGTGTTTACAGGATCCCAGTGGGCAGTCTTGAGTCATGACCCATAAAGTCTTTCTTTCATACAGAAATCCTCTCAAAGCACCTCTACCTGCATCTAATAAGGATTCTTCCCTCCTCATTCAGCACAAATGTGTTTTGTCTTCTAAGGAAGATATAAAACCAGTGCCTAGTGTGCACTAGATGTGGCATCTACTTTTATGTTCAAAGGCAGGGTTTTAAAGGTAAAGAAATTCTTTAGATTTTGAAATGCAAGAATATCAAAACATCTGTATTTGACTTTCAAGAAATTATTTTTGCTAGTAATATACACTACCTACCCTGATTAGATCATTATGTAACATATACTTAAATAAAAACATGAAATTGAAACCCATAAATACATACAATAACAATGTATCAATTAATTAAATAAATGATTATTAAAAACATTTAAACATTTATAAAATTCCAAATATTTTAAATGGACTAATGCTACTTTTTCAAGATAGAAGGCATATTTAATTTACTGTAAACCATGAAAAATTTGAGTACCTTTAAGGTACTCTTTTGCATAAAAATTTAATTACTAAATATATTCTAGATATTATTATACCACAGTCAGTAGTAAGATCAGTTTTATTATCTATTTTCATAAGAGAAAATTGTTTTAAAATTTAATGGGTATTTCTAGAAGAAAGGAAACAATATAAATATATATTTAAAATATGTTAAAGATAACTCCAATATGTGATATTTTAATAACTTCTACTTACATGTTTTAATTAAATTAACCTAGTTCCATTTTCATGTTCTAGAATTTATTGCTAAAATAAGCTAAATTGGGAAAGAAATTAATATATACAGACACATCCTTGCTATAAATGCAGTGAATAACAACATAAAAAGTGTAGGATTTCATAAAGTATTAGAGACACAATTGCATTACCATAATCTGAATAAATATACTTGTTTCTTTCACCACTGAGTTTCCCCTTGACATGCCTTGAAGCATCTAATTACACAATGAGAACTCATTTCTGAACCTTGGACTAAGGCCATCCTCTGTTATTAGTGACTCAGCCTAGAATGTCCAAAGTCTCAGTGGACAATCCCCAGTGAATACCAGCAAAACAACTGTTAATCTCATTCTCCAGGTAAAGAAGGACTGGATCATGGTTTCTATGGAATCCGCATGAAGGTCTCTGAAATCTCATGTGTAGGGATGATCAATGAATGTATACATTTCTTTAAAAACCATTCAGAAATCTTGCTTAGAAAAATGACTTTGTTCATATGATGACTATACGACTGCTGGCAGCCAACAAAGGCAGTGCGTGTTTGAAATTGAGGAGATAATAAAAGGTACTGATTATATTTGTATTTTAAAATTTTTATTGATCATAGGGAAGAAGAGACTCTGGCAAGCGCTTAAGAGAACTTTATTTCAGAAATCGAACTGAAGTTTGAGCACTAGTAATTGTACTTTCTGTTAAGAAAATTCAGCAGAAATTTTGGAGTATAGAATACAGACAACCAAAAGTGTTTTTGCCGCTAATTCATAAATGTGTTTCCCGGATTGGAAGGGAAATGATGATCAATGGAAGAGATAGGGCTAAATTATATTAAACTATGCTTTTTTGGGCTCAAGTGAAATTTAAAAACCCATATTCACAATAATTATCATAGAGGGCAGCATTTCCTCATTTGTACTTGGTTGGTGATTTTTTGGTTTTGGTTTGATTTCTTTTGCCACAAGTGGTGAGTAATTAATTATATGATGCTTATAATAATCTTATTGCTGTTTCTTACTTGCTATTTCACCTCATATGAATCCAGTATTTCCAAGGAAATATGTAGAAACAACTAGTGTTGTTTAAAAGTATTAGGAGGCCATTAAAGTAAAGACAGAATGAGAGTGGTTAAAATTACCAGTCTGTAGAGCAATGATATAGTTTTTAAAATAAAGGACCCTCTTCTGGCAATAAATAATTAAGGAAACCATATGATTAGTAGCTATGCTATGGGTATCCAAATTTTGTTTTTACACCCAATTTGTGACAAATTGTAGTGCTTTGTGCTTTTAAATTTTGCAATATATTTATTTTTTTCTTTTGGTACACAAGGTAAACTTCCAGTGAAATAATAGAAATATTATTTCTGCTTTAAGAACCATGCAGTGGTTTTGTAAGAAGGAAATGAGCATAGTATGTGGAAACAATGTGAAGGCTATATTACTCTACAGTCATAGCAGATAACAAGTGTGTAAATGTAAGTGATAGTGATTATGTTGATGATGCCAGCAATGATAATGATGAAGATGCTGAAACTTGTAGATTCTCTTCAATGATACACCCAGTCAAGTAATACACGGTCACTATGTCACAGACAGCTCCTAATAACCCATGGATTATTCCCCCTGTTGTAATTATAAAATACAGGGTCAGACATTCAGCAACAAAAGCTTACATTTCTAGTAATTGTAAGAGCTAGGATTCCATTTGGTATTAAACCGAGTCTCTTTCCCATGAACTTACACAGTGAAGCAGACTAAGCACATCCTCATCCCAAAATAACAGTCAAAGGATACTTCATACTCACTTTCATAATCACTTTCTGTCTATCCATGAAAATGTCTGTCTGCCCACTTACCTATGTATCTATCTATGAGAGCTGATGCACTATCGTGGACCTCAATGGTAGGTTGTGACTTGGAAGCACACATACACACAAGCAAATATTCACTTTATATTCTTCACTCCTTTACACCTTAAAGAGTTGTGGTTCTCCAAATTCATACCCTTCTCAACAATTAAAAATACATATTGTGTAAATATTAAATAAGATCAGTTATTCCTACGTCAGTTAAACACAACATTATGTACTGTGTCTCTTCTTAGGAGAATCTATTGTGGAGGAACTTGAAGGAAGGAGGAATCTCCTGTAGGATTCCATGCCAGGATGCTGTGGAGAGCCGTCCTTGCCTATACTCCGGAGGACACTCTTCTGTGTCATCTGATTGACATTCTAGACAAGTGTTGTCAATGTGAAATAATTCTTACTATAGACATGCAGATTCAGGTACAGACAGCTTGTTTTAAGGAATTCAGGCTGACTTACGAAGTCAATGACTTCACAGCTGTTCCAGTGAAACTGACCCTGTCACCTGTTTTACCATTTCCTAGCCTTATCTGTTAGTAAGAAAGATCACTTTCTGGAAGTTTCAGAGTTTCAGAACTTTAGGATATTTCAGTTATCCCTTCAGAAGAGAGGAAGCAACCTAGATTTTTGCAAAATCTGGTAAAGTGTGGCTTGGATTTTGGAGGCTTTTAAAAGTTCAATCTGATTTCTTACAAAACTTCCAGCAAAGCCAACTTGTACCCTTATCTCCCTTCCTATTTTTTTGGTAAATTCACACATTTTCTGTGCCTATGCAAATGATCATACCAACTTTAAGAGGAACAGCCATATTTTGTAATGAATAATGATTTCTCTTTGAGAATACTTTTCATCAAAACTGAGGAAAATATAGGGAAAATAAATCAGTGAGTGCCCCAAGGGAAAACTGCAGTATCTAGACACAAGAGAACCATCCTCCTTGGTTCCCAACTCTATCACTAGGTCTCTGTACTGTCATGAATAACGCTCTTCAAATCCTGTGATTCAGCTATTCTTCCTTATGATAATGAGACTATCACTGAAAAATCTTTGTCTTCTATGAATATGTGAATTACTTAAATTAGGCTATTTTAATTAGCTCATATTCAACTCTAAATTGAAGGATAGGAAAAAATCTATGCAATTTAATGATACATTCTGACTTCAAAAGATAGTAATATGTAATTCACTTGCAACTTGGGCACCATTTGTAGAATTGTAATTATTATGCTGAATATGTACATCCTCAACTTGATTTACACAGGAGATTACATGGGTATTTTTTTTGTAAGTGAATTATTCCAACAGATAAACTTTTATGTTGGGAACATGGTGGAAATTGTATTTCTTTTAGATTTTCTGAGAAATCTTCTTTCTTTGAAAATATGTATGATTGTTGCCTGGTCAAGGAAAGTACAATAAAACCAGATAACATGAGGAAACATAAGAAGTTTAAATGATTGAATTTTAGCCATTAAAATAATCTTATTCGTGATATAAAAATCTTATTATTTCTCATTTATTTAGCATCTATAATGATTATGTATTTCAGTAAATTTAACCTCTGTCTTTTATTTTTGTTGTGGGTAATTAAAAAGTGAGTCAGCCTTATTTCAGATGTACTGCCTAAAAATATTTGGATAAACTAGACCACACATTTTTTTAAACGTGTATATAAATGTATATTTATATATGTAACATATATATTTATTTATATGTTTTCATAGATATGTATGTGTGTATATAAACTTATGTATGTATGTGTGTGTTTGTGTAAATATAGGCATATGTGTGTTTGTGTGTGATGTAGAGAAGTTCACTTACAACCCCTGAATCTCAATTTTGTCATCTATAAAATGTCGGTGGTGATGTCAGTGTGAAGAGCTTGTTATTAGGATTAAATCTAATGGAATTATGGAAGAAATCCTGACATATTGCAAGTGCCAGTGTGTGGAGATAGTCAATAAAAGTTCATAATGTTATCGTTCCTTTCATGTATGATGCCTCCCGGGTTGAAGTTTTGCTTTTCCTAATCGCTGTGAAACTATCATCGGAATCTTTTCTCCTTGCTTTTTCATCTTTTGTATGACATCATTAATGCTGATGCCCAGGTATATACATTTTAGAAGAGTTATAAAAATAAAAGCAAGTGGAAGTGTTTTTAAATGGGCTTAAAATATTTACAGCTAATTCTGTGGATAAAAAATTAAGGGGCACAAGTAACCTGTTTGGATTTATTTTTACATAAGAAAAAAATGTCCTCTTCACATTACTGAAACAGATGTATAATGGCTGAGACTGCTTCCTCATTAAAGACAGGGATCTAATTTTATTTAAATAATGTTATATGGTAGAATTAGAACCCTGAAACATGAATAATCAAAGAGATGCTACACTGGTGTTCAAGAGATATCGTAACGTCACAAAATACGTCTCCTGCCACTCACCACTTGCAAAGTCATGTTAACAAGAGCAAGGTCTGGTAGAAAGAGACTTTTTCTTCCAAGCTTAGCTGAGGGGAAGCAGGACAGGCTTCTGCCTTATTGGGAAGTGCTTCCCCTTTCGGGGCAGTAGGCAGGGTCTTTTAATGGGGTCTTGGCGTGAATGACATGCAGGGGGTGAGGAGATGGGGGTCCAGTGATTTTCTTCTGATGTCTTTTCTACCCGGTGGTCTGGCTGGCACCATCGCAGGCAGAGCTGGGTTGTAAATTGAGACAGTCTCCTAGTGGGATGGAGTTCTGGGGTTGCCTGATTTGCTTCGTGATTCCGTCTCTAGAACTTCTAGGTAAACACAATGTCATACAAACTTGCCTTGTAGAATGTGTCTGGTGGGTAGAGTAAAGGATATATTTGCATTCCTAACCAGCTAAGAAGGAGGTGAGGGAGAAGGAAAAAATACATTCGTATCGAGACCATCCTGGCTAACACGGTGAAACCCCGTCTCTACTAAAAGTATATGTATATATAAAAAAAATTAGCCTGGCGTGGTGGTGGGCCCCTGTAATCCCAGCTACTTGGGAGGCTGAGGCAGGAGAATGGCGTGAACCCGGGAGGCGGAGCTTGCAGTGAGCCGAGATCACACCACTGCACTCCAGCCTAGGCGACAGAGCGACTCCATCTCAAAAAAATAAAAAAAAAAATTCGTTATTTTTCTTTTTTAAAAATGAGGTACTCAGTTGCAACATGACAATAAATATGAGATCTGATGTGCCGTCTATTATTCTGTCCTATGTTACTTTTCCTTTTTTAAAAATTAGGATAATAAGTCTCATGGAAAGTTTATCATAGATTGCCCTATATAAAATACAAATGATAGAAATGTTTGGAATGTTGTGTTAGTAATTACAAATAGCACCTATTCTACATGCTAATAATTAAATTACTAATACAAATTACATACTATTGCATCAGTCTTAATGCTGATCTCATACTGTTTCCAAATGACATATATGAAAATAATTTGTTCTTCTATACTGGCCTTCACAAATTACCAGAGGTCATAAAATAATTGCTCTGTAGAGGCTCAGAAACTTGTAGGAATTTTCTTAAAATGTATTTGGAATTCCAAATATGGAATAATTTCAGTACATTTAAATGTTTTTAATTAGAGTAAATATACTTAAGATAAACTGCACCATTTTAACTCTTTTAAGTGTACAGTTCTGTGGCATTAAGGACATTTATGTTGTTGTGCAACCATCACCACCATGCATCTCCAGAACAGTTTCATTTTCTCCAACTAAAATTGTGTTCTCCACACAATTATTCTCCTTGTCTCCCTTCCCCGGTCCCCTGGGGTCCAGCATTCCACTTTATGTCTCTATGAATTTGACTACTCTGGATACTTCATGTAGGAGAATTCATACAATATTTGCCTCTTTGTGGCTTATTTCACTTTGCATAATGTAATCAAAGTTCATCTATGTTGTAGCATGTGTCACAATTTATTTCATGATTAAAATGAATAATAGTCCATGTATGTACTCACTACATTTTTTATTGATTTCTCTGTGGACGGACACTTGTTTCTGCCTTTGGGGTATTGTGATAATACTGCTGTGAATGTGGCCATATAAGTATCTTTCTGAGGGTCTTATTTCTTTGGGTCCACATTCAGAAGTTAAATAGCTGGAGCATATAATAATTCTGTTTAATTTTTGAAGAAATTACTATACAGATGGTCCAGAAATACAATATTTTGATGATTTTTTGACTTTAATATGCATTTATAGGAACATATAATCCTATTGTAAGTCAAGGAGCATCTGGAATTACAATGGTTTGACTTACAATATTTTAACATTGAGATGACTTTTTCAGGATAGTAAATGTATATTTTACTTACAATATTTTCAACTCATAATGGGTTTATCAGGATGAAACCCATCATAAATCGAGAAGCCTCTCAATCATTTTCCACAGAGGCTGTAGAACTTCATTTTGGCACTGACTATACTTTTATGGTTTTAGCTCTTACACTTAGGTCTTTGATTTAGTTTGAATTAATTTTTCTATATGGTGTAAAGTAAGCATCCAATTTCATATTTTGAATGTAGTTATCCAGTTTTTCAAACACTGTTTATTGAAAACACCGTCCCTTCCCAACTGAGTAAACTCAGTTTCGTTTCCAAAAAATATATTGCTGTTTATAGGAGAGTCTATTTCCTGACTCTATTTTCCTCCTCGTCCTCCTCCTCCTTCCTTCCTTCTCCTTCTCCTTCTCCTTCTTCTTCTTCTTTGTCTTGTTCTGCTTCTTTCTTCTTCTTCTTGTTTGAGACACGGTCTCACTCTGTCACCCAAGTGGGAATGTGGGGCTACAATCTTGGCTCACTGCAACCTCGGCCTCCTGGGCTCAAGCAATCCTCCCACCTCAGCCTCCCCAAGTAGCTGGGACTACTGGTGCGAGCCACCACCCCTGGCTAATTTTTGTATTTTTTGTAGAAACAGGATTTTTCCATTTTGGTTGGTCTCAATGTTCTGAGCTCAAGCAGTCTGCCTGCCTCAGGCTCCCAGAGTGCTGGGATTACAGGTGTGAACAAACGCACCTGACCTCTCCTTTCTTCTATTGGTATACATGTCTGGCTTTATACCAATGCCATACTGTTTTGATTACCATAGCTTTTGGAACTGGAACAAGACAAGGATGCCCACTCTCACCACTCCTCTTCCACATAGTACTGGAAGTCCTAGCCAGAGCAGTCAGACAAGAGAAAGAAATAAAGAGCATCCAAATTGGTAATGAGGAAGTAAAACTGTCGCTGTTTGCTGATGCTATGATTGTTTACCTAGAAAACCCTAAAGACTCCTCCAGAAAACTCCTAGAACTAAAAAAGGAATTCAGCCAAGTTTCATGACACAAAATTAATTTACATAAATCAGCAGTTCTATTCACCAACAGCAGCCAAGCAGAGATTCTAAGCATTAGGGAAGCAAAGACACAGAATACACATCCTGCTGGCAAGAGCTTGAGCAGAAACATGGAAGCTAAAATGAAATTGGCATATGGATATTCAGATATCTATATCTGGGGTCCACAGTAACTGGAGAATTGTGAAACTGAATGAGGAGGCAAAAGAGAATGAACATTTAATGGTGGCAGACATTAAAAACCAAGACTGTGAGTTACATTTTGTGAAAAGGATACTTAAAATAATAATTCATTCTACATTTTTAGATAGAAGAACCAAATAATGATGTCTGACTTAGAGAAAGTTTGACTTGGAATTATTATTTTTTTATATAACTTTCATTTATTTCATTTCATTTTATTATTATTTTATTTTTTATTATACTTTAACTTTTAGGGTACATGTGCACAACATGCTTTGCATAATAATTCCAAGTCACATATGTATATATGGGACCAACATGGCACATGTATACATATGTGACTTGGAATTATTATGCAAAGACAATTCAAGAAGGAAATATAAGTTCCTCCAAATAAGTCACAGGCTGCTGCAGCTTTAGAAGTAAGTGTTACACAATAAATGTAGAAAAAAATCATCCAGAAAACATAATGCTAATTTATTCCTAATAAGATCCATAATATATGCATTTAACTTTTCCATGCATTTGTTTTAAGCATAACATATGATCTTGATTACATCTGAGTTTGTGTTGGGCATCAAACATTCCTATCCTTTTGAAGTTGTAAGACAGATGATTTTTCCTATAAATGTATATATTTCTTAGAAAAAATTTTGGTTATAAATATTTGTCTCATCAAATATTAATCTCTGGATAGAGAATACGATTTTTTTTCTAATTTGGAAAGATTAGTCATCTAAGAGTTATAAAGTTGTATAAATAATTCACAGTCTAACTAAACTAAGGATTTTTAAAAACAATTGGCTTACTATTCTATAAGTAGTCCCCTCTTATCCACTGTTTTGCTTTCCATAGTTTCTCCTGTGATCAACTGCAGTCTGAAAATATTGGGTGGAAAATGCCACAAATGAACACTTCATAAATTATCAGTTGGATTTCAGTCATAGCCCAATGTTGCATCATAGTGCCTACATTGTTCCCTTCACTTTATTTCATCATGTAGACATTTTGTCTTCCCATGAAGCATTTTGTCATCACAAGAAAAATGAGTACAGTACAACGAGGTATTTTGAGAAAAAGAAAAAGATAGAAACTGCATTTGCATAACTTTTATTAGAGTATATAGTTATAATTGTTCTATTTTATTTGCAGCTATTTTTGTTAATTTCTTCCTTGTCTAATTTATAAATTAAAATTTATAATACATATTGATGGATATAAAAAATAGTGTATATAGGGTTCAGTGTCAACTGCAATTTCAGGCATTCACTGGAGGCCTTGGAATGCAACCCCTGCAGATAATGGGGAACTACTGTACTTGACTTACCCTTGTGTCTCCCTTCAGGAAGGATCGTATGAATGCCCCATGGAAAATTACAATCAAACGTCAACTGATTTCATCTTATTGGGGCTGTTCCCACCATCAAAAATTGGCCTTTTCCTCTTCATTCTCTTTGTTCTCATTTTCCTAATGGCTCTAATTGGAAACCTATCCATGATTCTTCTCATCTTCTTGGACACCCATCTCCACACACCCATGTATTTCCTGCTTAGTCAGCTCTCCCTCATTGACCTAAATTACATCTCTACGATTGTTCCTAAGATGGCTTCTGATTTTCTGTATGGAAACAAGTCTATCTCCTTCATTGGGTGTGGGATTCAGAGTTTCTTCTTCATGACTTTTGCAGGTGCAGAAGCGCTGCTCCTGACATCAATGGCCTATGATCGTTATGTGGCCATTTGCTTTCCTCTCCACTATCCCATCCGTATGAGCAAAAGAATGTATGTGCTGATGATAACAGGATCTTGGATGATAGGCTCCATCAACTCTTGTGCTCACACAGTATATGCATTCCGTATCCCATATTGCAAGTCCAGAGCCATCAATCATTTTTTCTGTGATGTTCCAGCTATGTTGACATTAGCCTGTACAGACACCTGGGTCTATGAGTACACAGTGTTTTTGAGCAGCACCATCTTTCTTGTGTTTCCCTTCACTGGCATTGCGTGTTCCTATGGCTGGGTTCTCCTTGCTGTCTACCGCATGCACTCTGCAGAAGGGAGGAAAAAGGCCTATTCGACCTGCAGCACCCACCTCACTGTAGTAACTTTCTACTATGCACCCTTTGCTTATACCTATCTATGTCCAAGATCCCTGCGATCTCTGACAGAGGACAAGGTTCTGGCTGTTTTCTACACCATCCTCACCCCAATGCTCAACCCCATCATCTACAGCCTGAGAAACAAGGAGGTGATGGGGGCCCTGACACGAGTGATTCAGAATATCTTCTCGGTGAAAATGTAGACATACGTTCTGTGTTAGAGTCAAAGCGCTAGGTTCATATCAACTCAGCAGTGTACAGCAGTGAAGAAAAACATTATTACATGCCCAGTATGTCAAACAGAGATTAATCCAGAATGTTTGTCTTTTAATTTAGTCTTGACATTATAGTTGCATATTCTAAGACATCTATTTTGTTTCTGTTTGTGTTTCTTTTTATCAAAAGACAGATCATATATTTTACACTAAATTGTAAGGCCATAGAATTTCATTATCATGTATAAATCAAAACAATAAATGTCCAAAGGAATCATATCATTCAGCATAATAGTTATATGTTAATTGTTTCCCATTATTATTAAAATAAGACAAAATAACAAATTATTTAAGATTACTGAATCTAATTGAATATTAAATAATATTTTATTTACTCTCAACTGGTGTGTATGTGTTCCTCTTTTTGCTAAAGTAATGATTTATTAATAAATTTACCTCAGGATAAATAAGTATGTCTGGGGTGAAGCCAATTTGCCTTTAGTAAAACAACAATTTCTTTATAAAAGATTCTATGGAATTTACCTTCTATAGAACCTCTTAGACTACAGTTGACTTAGACTTAGTTGAATGTGGAGTAGGTTATTTGAACCATTCCCCAGTCACATCACAACACACACAATGTTTGTCTCCTGAGTAGCCACGGGTATTCTCATGCAAGACGTTCTCTTCTGAACAATTTTTTTCTACTTACTCTTCAAAATCAGCAAGTCTATACATCTTGGATTGGGATCAACTCCTCTGCTCCACTATTTTTATACCTGCTTAGGCCTGTGCCTAGAAGGATCAACATTATTTTTATAAAAGTTGTCAGCTTAGGTCCATTCTCTGAGTGAAAGGCCATGGCTCTCCACAAGAGCCCATTCCTGAGAAACGCTTTAGTCTCTGAGGAGAGGAGGCAAGAAGGAAGGTAGAATGAACAAGTAAGAGAAAAGCCCTGCATTATACAACTTTCCATAATGTAACATTTTTCTATAACTATTTTTCTAAAGTTCTTTCTGTTGCTCTCAAATAGAATAATCTTCACTCTGGAAATATAATTAAAGTGCATAAAAACTATTTATCTGAAGAATAACATCATGTGATCAGAAAATATATTTTTATTTTTATTTGTTATTAATTTTATTTGTTTATTTTGTTTATTTTTTATGGGGGTTCTGGCATATGTGAGCAGAACGTGCAGGTTTGTTACACAGGTATACATGTGCCGTTGTGGTTTGCTGCACCAATAAACCCGTCATCTAAGTTTTAAGCCCCATATGCTTTAGGTATTTGTCCTAATGCTCTCCCTCCCCTTGCCCAAGAATTTGTAATGATAGCCATTAAAATCCCAATGTAGAAAATTTTATATCTGATTTGAAAAAACACTGTAGGTTTTAATATTATGTGTTTAAAATGCTATTATAGCAATGTAAAATAAAAAAGATGATAGAGTAAAATGACTGTAAAATTCAAGGAAATATGCATTCAATATTTACAACATTGAACTTATCTTTTCATTGTAAATAATATAAAACTACATTTTGTCTTTACTTGTATAAAATGCATTTTTATTAAAATACACTGTGTATCCATTAAAAATCATTTGGCCTAGGTTTTCTTCTAGGGTTTTTATGGTTTTAGGTCTAACGTTTAAGTCTTTAATCCATCTTGAATTAATTTTTGTATAAGGTGTAAGGAAGGGATCCAGTTTCAGCTTTCTACATATGGCTAGCCAGTTTTCCCAGCACCATTGATTAAATAGGGAATCCTTTCCCCATTGCTTGTTTTTCTCAGGTTTGTCAAAGATCAGATAGTTGTAGATATGTGGTGTTATTTCTGAGGGCTCTGCTCTGTTCCATTGATCTATATCTCTGTTTTGATACCAGTACCACGCTGTTTTGGTTACTATAGCCTTGTAGTATAGTTTGAAGTCAGGTAGTGTGATGCCCCCAGCTTTGTTCTTTTGGCTTAGGATTGACTTGGCGATGCGGGCTCTTTTTTGGTTCCATATGAACTTTAAGGTAGTTTTTTCCAATTCTGTGAAGAAAGTCATTGGTAGCTTGATGGGGTTGGCATTGAATCTATAAATTACCTTTTGCAGTATGGCCATTTTCATTACCATTCAGGACATAGGCATGGGCAAGGACTTCATGTCTAAAACACCAAAAGCAATGGCAACAAAAGACAAAATTGACAAATGGGATCCAATTAAACTAAAGAGCTTCTGCACAGCAAAAGAAACTACCATCAGAGTGAACAGGCAACCTACAAAATGGGAGAAAATTTTCGCAACCTACTCATCTGACAAAGGGCTAATATCCAGAATCTACAATGAACTCAAACAAATTTACAAGAAAAAAACAAACAACCCCATCAAAAAGTGGGTGAAGGACATGAACAGACACTTCTCAAAAGAAGACATTTATGCAGCCAAAAAACACATGAAAAAATGCTCACCATCACTGGCCATCAGAGAAATGCAAATCAAAACCACAATGAGATACCATCTCACACCAGTTAGAATGGCAATCATTAAAAAGTCAGAAAACAACAAGTGCTGGAGAGGATGTGGAGAAATAGGAACACTTTTACACTGTTGGTGGGACTGTAAACTAGTTCAACCCTTGTGGAAGTCAGTGTGGCGATTCCTCAGGGATCTAGAACTAGAAATACCATTTGACCCAGCCATCCCATTACTGGGTATATACCCAAATGACTATAAATCATGCTGCTATAAAGACACATGCACATGTATGTTTATCGCGGCACTATTCACAATAGCAAAGACTTGGAACCAACCCAAATGTCCAACAATGATAGACTGGATTAAGAAAATGTGGCACATATACACCATGGAATACTATGCAGCCATAAAAAAGGATGAGTTCATGTCCTTTGTAGGGACATGGGTGAAATTGGAAATCATTATTCTCAGTAAACTATCGCAAGAACAAAAAACCAAACACCGCATATTCTTACTCATAGGTGGGAATTGAACAATGAGAACACATGGACATAGGAAGGGGAACATCACACTCTGGGGACTGTTGTGAGGTGGGGGGAGGGGGGAAGGATAGCATAGGAGATATACCTAATGCTAAATGAGGAGTTAATGAGTGCAGCACACCAGCATAGCACATGTATACATATGTAACTAATCTGCACATTGTGCACATGTACCCTATAACTTAAAGTATAATAATAAAAAAAGAAAAATCATTTGGCAAATATAAGTGTGTCTATGTAAAAAGTAGAATATAAATATGTTTACCTCCACAAATCTAGCATTGTTTTAAAAAGAAAAGCCCTGGATTATTCAAACTACAACAGTGATGAATGCCTGATCTGCAGTTGACCCTTGAACAACGCGGACTTGAACTGTGCAGTCCACTTATGTGTGGATTTCCTTCTGCCTTCACCACTCCTGAGACAGCAAGACCAACCTCTCCTCCTCTTAGAAGGTCATTCAAAGGTCCTGCATGTTGCAGATGTTTTTACATGGAACTTTCCTGGAGAGAATCCCAAGTATGGTTCACGTTGGTTCTCTCAAGCTGGGAAAAACTGGAAATGATTATGTTGCTATGATTGTAGCCTTCCAGTGAAAGTCCCATTTCTTTCTGTCCTTCAATCCAGACTGGCTTTCAGACACAAAAAGAAAAATACTGCATGATCTCACTTATATATTGGTGTTGCGGGAAGTCAGGACCCCGAATGGAGGGACCGGCTGAAGCCATGGCAGAAGAACATAAATTGTGAAGATTTCATGGACATTTATTTGTTCCCCAAATTAATACTTTTATAATTTCTTACCCCTGTCTTTACTGTAATCTCTGAACATAAACGGTGAAGATTTCATGGACACTTATCACTTCCCCAATCAATACGCTTGTGATTTCCTATGCCTGTCTTTACTTTAATCTCTTAATCCCATCATCTTCATAAACTGAGGAGGATGTATGTCACCTCAGGACCCTGTGATGATTGCATTAACTGCACAAATTGTTTGTAGTGCATGTGTGTTTGAACAATATGAAATCTGGGCACCTTGAAAAAAGAACAGGATAACAGCAATGTTCAGGGAACAAGGGAGATAACCTTAAACTCTGGCTGCCTGTGAGCTGGGTGGAACAGAGCCATATTTCTCTTCTTTCAAAAGCAAATAGGAGAAATATCGCTGAATTCTTTTTCTCAGCAAGGAACAGCCCTGAGAAAGAGAATGAGTTCCTAGGGGGCGGCCTCTAAAATGGCCACTTTGGGGATGGCTGTCTTTTACAGTCATAGATAAGGGACGAAATAAGCCCCAGTCTCCTGTAGTGCTCCCAGGCTTATTAGGACAAGGAAATTCCTGCCTAATAAATTTTGTTCAGACCGGTTGTCTGCTCTCAAACCCTGTCTCCTGAGAAGATGTTATCAATGACAATGTGTGCCCAAAACTTCATTAGCAATTTTAATTTCGCCCCAGTCCTGTGGTCCCGTGATCTCGCCCTGCCTCCATTTGCCTTGTGATATTTTATTACCTTGTGAAGCATGTGATCTCTGTGACCCACACCCTATTTGTACACTTCCTCCCCTTTTGAAAATCGCTAATAAAAACTTGCTGGTTTTACAGTTCGGGGGCACCACGGAACCTGCCAACATGTGATGTCTCCCCCGGACACCCAGCTTTAAAATTTCTCTCTTTGTCCTCTGTCCCTTTATTTCTCAGACCAGCGGACACTTAGGGAAAATAGAAAAGGACCCATGTGAAATATTGGGGGCTGAATTTCCCCTGATATATTGGGCCTAAAAATAAACAGAATACAAAGAAACAGAGAGTAGAATGGTGATTACTCAAAGTTAACTTGTCTGAGAAACTGACTCAGTGCAGGATGCAGCATCTTCATCTCCCTGTCTCATGACTTCACCACTCACGCCTCGACCAATCAGCAATCCCCACACTTTAGCCCATCACCCATGCAGACTCCCTAAAAACATGTCCACACCTGTGATCCCAGCACTTTGGGAGGCTGAGGTGGGTGGATCACGAGGTCAGGAGATCAAGACCATCCTGGCTAACACAGTGAAACCCCGTCTCTACTAAAAATACAAAAAAATTAGCTGGGCGTGGTTGTGGGTGCCTTTAGTCTCAGCTACTCAGGAGGCTGAGGCAGGAGAATGGCATGAACCCAGGAGGCTGAGCTTGCAGTGAGCCGAGATCACGCCACTGCACTCTAGCCTGAGCGACAGAGCGAGATTCCGTCTCAAAAAAAAAAAAAAAAAAAAAAAAAAAAATCATGTCCAAGTCTCTCCAGAAGGCTGATTTGAGGCTTCCTGTCTCTTCCTCCTTCAGCTGACCTATGATTAACAAACCCTTTCTCTGCTGCAATTCCTGCTGTTTTGGTGTTTTGGTCTGCTACCACTCCATGGGCAATGGAACCCTGTGGCCCTGTAACAATCCACCTGCCTCAGTCTCCCAGTAGGTGGAATTACAGGCCTGTGCCAACATCCCTTGCTCTTTAACAAAAGATTTGACATAAATGGTTATCACCTGAATTTTGTCTCTTTGGGAAATAGAATGGAGCTTCTTTATAAGTGAATATGATTATGCATTTAAAAATCTGTTTGACTTAATGAATAATTCAAATGGACTGAATACAGACATGGAAAAATGTAAAATAAGCAGCTCAGTTTTATTTATATTTCTTATTCTAATCTCTTCTTTCAGAATAAAACAAGTTGTGGCCTACGATCTGCTTAGTTTCATCGTTTCTACTGCAGAAGTGTGAAATAGTCAATTTCTACGTCCAGGAAACTCTCAGGAGATCTGGGATATGTATTTCAGGAATAAGTTGTTGACTCATATCCCCCATATTTGCATATGTGATGTGACCCTGGTGGGTAGTTTTGAGGTAAACCTAAAAGTCTTCCTTGTTTTACAGAAATTCCCTTGAAGTCTATCTTCCCACATCAAATAAGGAGTCTTACCTCCTCTTTCAGCACATATAGGTTTTGAGTTTAACAAAACTGTGAAAACAGTACCGTGGTTGCACTAGACATGGCGCATACTATTATGTAACAGCCAAGGTTTTAAACTTGCAAAAAAATTCTTCGACTTTTCAAATGCAGGAATATTGAAACATCGGTACACTTGGACTTTCAGGAAATTGTCCTTGCCAGGAATGTACACTAACTACCCCGACTGGATCATTATACAACATATATATGCATCAGTACATCAGATTGGCTGGTCCAAGTGTAGTGGTGTTTACAACTAATTGATCACAACCAGTTAGAGGTTTCTTGGTTTCTTCTCCACTCCCACTGCTTCATCTGACTAGCCTATACATATCAAAATATATATCACAATAAATATAAATAAAAATACATATCATAATGTGTCAAATAATTTAACAATTTAAATACATGTGGAAAAATTCAAATACTTTTAAAACTCAACAAAATTAAAAATGAAGAAATATTACTTTTCTCAGGTAGATTGTATCATTAATTCATTTAGTAAGAAAATAAGAAATTTGAGAACATTTAAAGCACTCTACTGAATAAAAATTTAATTAAATTACTATTTTCTAAATATTAATAAACCAAAGAGAGTAATAACAACATTTTATTATCTGTTTTAATAGGAGAAAAATCACTGTATAATTTACTGAGCATTTCCAAATACAAAGAACCAGTGTGAACATATATAATACCTAAAATATGTTAAAAGATAACTCCCATGTATGTGATAGCTTAATAATTTCTACTTATGTGGTTTTATTAAATTAACCTCGTTCTATTTTAGTGGCTTAAATCTTGTTGCCAATATAAATTGAACTCAGAAAGAAATTAATGTATGCAGATTCATTATTACTGTGGATGCCTAAATAACAACATTCAAACTATAGGGTTTCATAAAGTTTAGAAACACGAAAACATTGACATAATGTGAATAAATATGTTTGTTTCTTCCTCCATTGAATTTACCCTTGACATGCCTTGAAACATCTAAATACATAATCAGAACTCATTTCTGAACCTTGAATTAAGGCCATCCTCTGTTGTTAGTGACTCAACCTAGAATGTCCAAAGTCTCAGTGGACAATCCCCAGTGAATACCAGCAAAACAACTGTTAATCTCATTCTCCAGCTAAAAAGGACTGGATTCATGGTTGCTACTGAATTCCAATGAAGGTCTCTGAAATCTCGTGTGTAGGGAAGAAAAATGAATATATGCATTTCTTTAAGCAATATTCTTAATGCTTACTCAGAAAAATGAATTTGTTCCTATGATGACTGTAGGACTGCCGTCAGCTAAGCAAAGGCACTGAGTGTTTGGAAATGAGGAAATAATAAAGGTACTAATTATAATTGTATTTTTAAATTTTTATTGATCACAGCGAAGAAGGGACTCTGGCAAGTGCTTAAGAGGACTTTGTTTCAGAAATAGAATTGAGGTGAATTTCAGCACTAATGACTGTACTTTCTCTAACACCATTCAGCAGAAATATTGGAGTATGAAATGCAGGCAACCAAAAGTGATTTTGCAACTAATTCATAAATGTGTTTTCTGGAGGGGAAGGGAAATGATGGTCAATGGAAGAGACAGGGATACATTATATTAGACTATGCTTTCATGGGCTCAAGTGAAATTAAAGAACCCACATTCACAATAATTATTGTAAGGGGTAACATTTCCTTGTACCTACTTGGTTGGTGTTTTGTTTTGTTTTGGTTTGATTTCTTTTGCCATGAGTGATGTGCGATTGTACGATGCTCATTATAATCTTAATGCTGCTTCTTACTTTGTGATCTAGAGAAGTTCGCTTACAAACTCTGAATCTCAATTTTTGTCATCTAAGATGTCGGTGGTGATGTCAATGTAAAGAGCTTTTTATTAGGATTAAAACCAATGGAATCACGGAACAATCCTGACATATTGCACGTGCCAGTGTGTGGAGATAGTCAATAAAAGTTCATGCTGGTATCATTCCATTCATGTAGGACATCACTGGGGTTGAAGGCTGGTTTTTCTACTTGTGATGAAAATATCCTCAGAAATTTTTCTGCTCTCTTTTTCCTCCTGTGTATAACATCATTAATGCTGATGCCTAGGTATATACATTTTAGGAGAGTTACAAAAATGAAAGCAAGTAGAAATGTTTTTAAATAGGCTTAAAATATTTGTTGCTATTTTGGTGGATAAAAAACTAAGGGACAGAACCCACGTGGATTTATTTTTACATAAGAAAAAAATGTCCTCTTCACATTACTGAAACAGATGTATAATAAATATCCTCTTTGCATTACTGAAACAGATATATAATGGCTGAGACTGCTTTCTCATTAGGGACAGGGCTCTATTTTTTCTAACAATAATATTATATGGTAGAATTAGAGCCTTGGAACATGAATAATCAAAGAGATGCTACATTGGTGTTCATGAGATATTGTAACATCGCAGAACACATCTCCTGCCCCTCAGCACTTGTAAAGTCCTGTTAACAAGAGCAAGGTCTGGTAGAAAGAAAGACTTTTTCTTCCAAGCTTAGCTGAGGGGAAGCAGGACAGGCTTCTGCCTTAATGGGCAGTGCTTCCCCTTCTGGGGCAGTAGGCAGGGTCTTTTAATGGGGTCTTGGTGTGAATGACATGCAGGGGGTGAGGAGATGGGGTCCAGTGACTTGCTTCTGATGTATTTTCTATCCAATGGTCTGGCTGGCACCACCGCAGGCAGAGCTGGGCTGTAAATTGAGGCAATCTCCTAGTGGGAGGGAGTTTTTGGGGTGCCTGATTTTCTTCAAGGTTCCTTCTCTAGAACTTTTAAGTAAACACAAAGTCAAATAAGCTTGCCTTGTAGAATGTGTCTGGTGGAGAGTGTAAAGGATAGATTTGCATTCCTAAACAGTTAAGTAAGAGGTAGGGGGAGATCGGAAAAATAAATTTGTTATTTTTCTTTTTTAAAAATAGGGTACTCAGTTATAATATGGCATTACATATGAGATCTGATGTGTCATTTAATATTCTGACATATATTACTTTTCCTCTTTTTAAAAGTAGGATAATAACTCTCATGGAAAGTTTGTCATCGACTGCCCTATATAAAATACAAATAATAGAAATGTTTGGAATGTTAATTGTGTTAGTAATTTCAAATAGTACATATTCTAATTGCCAATAATTAAACTACTAATATAAATTCAAACTATTGCATCAGTCTTAATGCTGATCACATATTGTTTCCAAATGACATGTATAAAAAGTAATTTGTTCTTCTAAATTGTCCCTCACAAATAACCAGAGGTCATAAAATAATTGAAAATAAATTGCTCTGTAGAGGCTCAGAAACTTGCCTGAATTTTCTTAAAATGTATTTGGACATCCAAATATGGAATAATTTCAGTATATTTAAATGTTTTTATTATTTTTTATTTCTTATTTCATACATGAGATAATACATATTATCTCATGTATTAAATATACATAAGATAAACTGCACCATTTAAACTATTTTAAGTGTTCAGGTCTGTGGCACTAAGTATATTTATATTGTTCTGCAACCATCCCCACCAGTCATCTCCAGAATAGTTTCATTGTCTCCAACTAAAATTTTGTTCTCTACACAATTATTCTCCTTGACTCCCTTCCCCCATCCCCAGGGGTCCAGCATTCTACTTTCTGTCTCTATAAATTTGACTACTCTGGGTACTTCCTGTACATAAATTCATACAATACTTGCCTGTTTCTGGCTTATTTTGCTTAGCATAATGTAATCAAGTTTCATCTATGTTGTAGCATGTGTCAAAATTTCTTTCATTTTAAAAACTGAATAATATTCCATTGTATGTACTCATTACATTTTTTATTGATTTCTCTGTGGATGGACACTTAAGTTGTCTCTGCCTTTGGGGTATTGTGAATACTGCTGCTGTGAACGTGGGCATATAAGTATGTTTTTGTGTGTCTTGTTTCTGTGGGTCCACATTCAGAAGTGAAATAGTTGGAACCTATACTAACTCTGTTTAATTTTTGAAGAAATTACTATACAGATGGTCCAGAAACACAATAATTTGACAACTTTTTGTCTTTACTATGCATTTATAAAAACATAAAACCCTATTGTAAATCAAGGAGCATCTGGAATTACAATGGTTTGACTTACAATATTTTAACATTGAGATGACTTTTTCAGGATAGTAAATGTATATTTTACTTATAATATTTTCATAATGGGTTTATCAGGATGAAACCCATCATAAATCGAGAAGCCTCTCAATCATTTTCCACAGAGGCTGTACAATTTCATTTTGCCACTGACTATACTTTTATGGTTTTAGCTCTTACACTTAGGTCTTTGATTTATTTTGACTTAATTTTTCTATATGGTGTAAAGTAAGCATCCAATTTCAATATTTTGAATGTAGATATCTAGTTTTTCAAACACCGTTTGTTGAAAAGACTGTCCCTTCCACATTGAGTAAACTTGGTTTGCTTGCCAAAAAAATATTGCTGTGTATATGACAGTCTATTTCTTGACTCTGTTTTCTATTTCTTCTTCTTCTTCTCCTTCATTTTTTTTTGAAACAGGGTCTCACTCTGTCACACAGGTTGGAATGTGGTGGTGTGATCTTGGCTCACTGCAACCTCTGCCTCCTGGGCTCAAGCAACCCTCCCATCTCAAGCCCCCAAGTAGATGGGACTACTGGTGCGAGCCACCACACCTGGCTAATTTTTGTTTTTTTTTTTTTGTACAGACAGGATTTTACCATGTTTTACTGGCTGGTCTCAATGTTCTGAGCTCAAGCAATTCTGCCTGCCTTAGCCTCCCAAAGTGCTGGGATTTCAGGTGTGAGCCATGGCACCTGTCCTCTCTTTTCTTCTATTGTTATACATGTCTGGCTTTATACCAATGTCATACTGTTTTGATTTCTGTAGTTCTTGGAAGTGGAAAAATTCAAGGATGCTCACTCTTACCTCTTCAACATAGTATTGGAAGTCCTAGCCACAGCAGTCAGAAAGAGAATGAAATAAAGGGCATCCAAATCAGTAAAGAGGAAGCCAAACTGTCCCTCTTTGCTTATAATATGATTGTTTACCTAGAAAACTCTAAAGCCTTCTCCAGAAAACTTCTAAAACTGATAAAAGAATTCAGCCAAGTTTCAGGATACAAAATTAATGTTCACAAATCAGCTGCAAATAATAAACTGCTTAGGAATATACCTAACCAAGGAGGTGAGAGAACTCTATAAGGAAAACTACAAAACACTGCTGAAAGAAATCATAGACGAAACAAACCTATGGAAACACGTACCATGCTCATGGATAGGTAGAATCAATATTGTGAAAATGACCATATTGCCAAAACAACCTACAAATTCAATGTAATTCCCATCAAAATACCACCATCATTCTTCACAGACAATTCTCAAATTCATATGGAACCAAAAAGAGTCTGCATAGCCAAAGCAAGACTAAGTGAAAAAAACAAATCTGGAGGCGTTTGGTAAGTTTTAAAATCAGAAAGTATCAGTTTTTCAATTTTGTCCTTAAAAAAACGTTTTCCAGATTTTTCGACTATTTAAGGTCCTTTGAAATTCCATAGAAATTTTAGCATGGTTTTTCTATTTCTGAAAAAGATTTATCATTAGAATTTTCATAGATTCCATTGAATCTTTAAGTGACTTTGGATATTCTTGACATCTTAACAGTGTTAAGCCTTCCAGTCTATAAATACAGAATGTATTTCCATTTATCTGTGTCTTCTTTGATTGTTCTAATCAGCATTTTGTCATTTTTCAATATATAAGCCTTTTACTTCCTTGGTTAGGTTTAATCCTTAAGTGTTTCGTTTCTTTCTGATACTATTGTAAATAAAATCACAATCTCATTTTTAGATTGTTTATTGTTAGTGTATAGCCACTTGAAGCCTAGGTTCAGAACAGACAATTTTGCTTCTGACACTTTCTGTGAGTCACAGCAAATTGTGGGTGTATAGGAGTGCAAAAGGTTTTGGCTGTTGATGTTGCATGCTGCAATTTTGCTTATTGTGTTAATTATTTATAACAGTTTTCTTTGCGTGGAGTCCTAAGGTTTTCTACACATATAGTTATGTCATAAACAAATAAAAATTATTTCACTTCTTTCTTTTGAATTAAGATAACATATTTATCTTTCCCTTTTTTTTTTTTTTTGTTCAATCGCTTTGGCTGAACTTCCAGTAATATGCTGAATAGATGCCGTGAAAGTGGACATTTTTGTCTTTCTCCAAATCTTAGACTAAAAAGTGTCACTCTTGGCCAGGCACGGTGGCTCATGCCTGTAATCCCAGTACTTTGGGAGGCCGAGATGGGCGGATCACGAGGTCAGGAGATCGAGACCATCCTGGCTAACACGGTGAAACCCCGTCTCTACTAAAAATACAAAAATTTAGCCAGCTTGGTGGCAGGTGCCTGTAGTCCCAGCTACTTGAGAGGCTGAGGCAGGAGAATGGAGTGAACCTGGGAGGCGGAGCTTGCAGTGAGCCGAGATCGCGCCACTGCACTCCAGCCTGGGTGACAGAGCGAGACTCCATCTCAAAAAGAAAAAAAAAAGTGTCAGTCTCATATTATGATGAAGCTGTGGGTTAAATTCTTAACTGTGACATAATTTTTACATCACTTTAATGTTTTATTCAAGTAATGCGTAGACATGGTGACAACAGTCCACAGGCTAAAATATTGGACCCATAACAGACCCTTCCTGAACCCAAAGGTAAGGACTTCAAATTTTCTTACCAGTTTTTCCCTATTTTTGTCCATGTATTTTCAAACAATATGCTTATCTGCTAATGCTTGATTTATATACCCCAAATACCAGCCCTTGACTCATGACATAGGCCACAGTCAATAGTGACCTGCTTCCCCCAACATCACTACCCCCACACTCATTACCTTTCTCCCATTCTGTCAACATAATTACATTCCACTTTATATCTGCAGTAAGGGGTTGACAGCATCATCTCCTCTTATGAAATTTATTGATTAAATACATAAAATATATACTCTTGTAAATCCTGATGGTGATACATATATACATAGATTTCTTCTGATTATTATTACTACTATTTCTCTCAAAAACTTATAATTAAAATTTTTAGAATGTTTTCTAGAAGACAGAATTTTCATGAAATATTTTACTAAAAATATTTCTCACTTACTTTGTGATTTTACATGCCATCTGAATATGGTGGCTAATATATTCCAGTTCTGAGAATTTTTGTATGGTATTGAGTTTATTATTATTTGCTATGTGCATTTCTGGGAATGCCTGTAAGTATATGTTGGTCCTGTTGCATTAATTTTCTAATATTTTTGTCTCTTCTAATCTTTTCAGTTTTTTTTTCCTTCTGATAGATTTTTCACTTTCGTATTTTGAAACTTTCATTTAATGCGGTATCAATTATTGTATCTTTAATTTCAAAGAGTCATTTATTGTTACATTTCACATCCTTGCATATAGCTAATGATATTTATTTGGTGGATTTTATAACATATCATAGACATCTTCATTCCTGAAAATAGGAATTCTTAATTTTAAAAACTCACTCTTTTTGCAGGTTTGTGATAGTTTTAACTCAGTGTACATACACGTGTATTGATCCTTAAGTGAGTGTTCATCTTTGTGTGTGTGTGTATAGATGTGAGTTTGCACACTGTGTAGATCTTACTCTTTCATATTGTTACACTTCCTCAAAGGTCGGCTGACCTTTGGCTCTAAAATAATTTTCAAGCCTAAAAACTTCATTCCTTTTATGTATCCTGTGCAAAGTTGTCCAGTGATGTCTTCTATCTGGAGAAGAATACTCGAACCACCTCTACCCAGAAAACTGTCAGGTTGCTGTTTCCTTTTTTCCATTTAAGTGAATGGTCATTTCTCCAAATCCTGTCTTTTGAAGATGTAAAGTGATTTATTGTTTTTGCTTCCCTAATGCTTAGATTACATTATACTTTATGGATCTTAACAAAAAATTGATAAATATACTTATGATCCCTTCATATGAATGGGAGGATCCCTAAAGTCTATGTAATCTAAGCATGAGGGAAGCAAAGACACAGAATATACATCGTATACGGGGAGAGCTTGAGCAGAGACATGGAAGCTAAAATGAACTTGGCATATAGATATTGAGATAGAGAGTCTGCATTAACTTGAGAATTCAGAAATTGGATGAGAAGGCAAAAGAGAATGGACATTTGATGGTGGTGGACATTCAAAATCAAGACTATGAATTACATTTCATGAAAAAGGTACTTAAAATAACAATTCATTCTACATTTTTAAGTAGAAGAACCAAATAATGATGTCTAACTTAGAGAAAGTTTGACTTCAAATTATTATGCAAAGACAATTCAAGAAGGAAATATAAGTTCCTCCAAATGAATCATAGGCTGCTGCAGTTCTACAAGTAAGTCTTAAAGAATAAATTTAGTGAGAAAAATCATCCAGAAAAAGTAATGCTAATTTATTCATAATATGGATCCATAGCATATGCATTTAATTTACCTTCCCATGCGTATGTTTTAAGCATAGCACATGATCTTAATGGCATCTGAGATTGTGTTGGGCATCAAACATTCATATCTTTTTGAAGTTGTAAGACAAATGATTTTTCCTATAAATGTATATATTTCTTAGAAAAACTTTGGTTATAAATATTTGTCTCATCAAATATTAATCTCTGTGTAAGAAAATAATTTTTTTCTAAATAGAATAAATGAGTTCATCATTTAAGTGTTGTAAAGTTCTATAAATAATTCACAGCCTTACTAAACTAAGGATTTTTAAAAACAATTGGCTTACTATTCTATAAGTAGTCCCCTCTCATTCACTGTTTTGCTTTCCGTGGTTTCTCCTGTAATCAAATGCGGTCTGAAAATATTGCATGGAAAAGTCCACAAATGAACACTTCATAAATTTTCAATTGGTTTTCAGTCATAGCCCAACGTCACATCACAGTGCCTACCTTGTTCTCCTCACTTTATGTCATCATGTAGACATTTTGATTTCCCATGAAGCATTTTGTCATCACAAGAAAAATGAGCACTTTTTCAATATGATGGTTTGAAAGAAAGAAAAATATAGATTGCATTCACATAAGTTTTATTACAGTATATAGTTGTAATTGTTCTATTTTATTTGTAGTTATTTTTGTTAATCTCTTCCTTGCCTAATTTATAAATTAAAGTTTATAATATGCATTTATGGATATAAAAATAGTTTATATAGGGTTCAGTATCAACCCCAGTTTCAGGCATCCACTGGGAGTCTTGTAATGCAGCCACTGTGGATAAAAGTGAATTACTGTTCTTAATTTACCCTTTTGTCTCCCTTCAGGATGGATTGTAGGAATTCCCCATGGAAAATTACAATCAAACATCAACTGATTTCATCTTATTGGGGCTGTTCCCACAATCAAGAATTGGCCTTTTCGTATTCACCCTCATTTTTCTCATTTTCCTAATGGCTCTAATTGGAAATCTATCCATGATTCTTCTCATCTTTTTGGACATCCATCTCCACACACCTATGTATTTCCTACTTAGTCAGCTCTCCCTCATTGACCTAAATTACATCTCCACCATTGTTCCAAAGATGGTTTATGATTTTCTGTATGGAAACAAGTCTATCTCCTTCACTGGATGTGGGATTCAGAGTTTCTTCTTCTTGACTTTAGCAGTTGCAGAAGGGCTGCTCCTGACATCAATGGCCTATGATCGTTATGTGGCCATTTGCTTTCCTCTCCACTATCCCATCCGTATAAGCAAAAGAGTGTGTGTGATGATGATAACAGGATCTTGGATGATAAGCTCTATCAACTCTTGTGCTCACACAGTATATGCACTCTGTATCCCATATTGCAAGTCCAGAGCCATCAATCATTTTTTCTGTGATGTTCCAGCTATGTTGACGCTAGCCTGCACAGACACTTGGGTCTATGAGAGCACAGTGTTTTTGAGCAGCACCATCTTTCTTGTGCTTCCTTTCACTGGTATTGCATGTTCCTATGGCCGGGTTCTCCTTGCTGTCTACCGCATGCACTCTGCAGAAGGGAGGAAGAAGGCCTATTCAACCTGTAGCACCCACCTCACTGTAGTGTCCTTCTACTATGCACCCTTTGCTTATACCTATGTACGTCCAAGATCCCTGCGATCTCCAACAGAGGACAAGATTCTGGCTGTTTTCTACACCATCCTCACCCCAATGCTCAACCCCATCATCTACAGCCTGAGAAACAAGGAGGTGATGGGGGCCCTGACACAAGTGATTCAGAAAATCTTCTCAGTGAAAATGTAGACATACGTTCTGTGTTAGAGTCAAAGCGCTAGGTTCATATCAACTTAGTAGTGTACAGCAGTGAAGAAAAACATTATTACATGCCCAGTGTGTCAAACAGAAGTTAATCTAGAAGAAATTTGTCTTTTAATTTAGTCTTGACAATATTATAATACATATTAATACATATTCTAAGACATCTATTTTGATTTTGTTTGTGTGTGGTTTTTGTTTGTTTGTTTGTTTGTCTTTTTAATGGATTTTGGCTCTTGTTGCCCAGGCTCTAATGCAATGGCGCAATCTCAGCTCCCCATAACCTCTGCCTCCTGGGTTCAAGCGATTCTCCTGCCTAGCCTCCTAAGTTAGCTGCGATTACAGGTGTGAGCCACCATGCCCTGCCTGTTTTTTTTTTAATCAAATATAGGTCATATATTTTCTACTAAATTGTGGGCAACAGGGTTTCATTAACATGTAGAAATCAAAACAATAAAGGTCCAAACTAATCATATCATTCAGCATAATAATTACATAATAGTTGTTTATCTCCCATTATTATAAAAATAAGACAAAAATAACAAATTAGTTAAAATTACTGAATCTAATTGAATATTAAATAGTTTTTATTTACTCTCAACTGGTATGTATGTCTTCTTCTTTTTCTTAAAGTAATGTTTTACTAATAAGTTTACCTGAGGATAAATAATTATGTTTGTGGAGCAGCCAATTTGGCTTTAGAAAAACAAGAGTTTCTGTATAAGAAGTTCTATAGAAGTTACAGTCTATAGACCCTCTTAGACTATAGTTGACTTAGTGGAGTGTGGAGTAGGTTATTTGAATCATTTCCCAGTCACGTCACAACACACTCAAGATTTGCCTCCTCAGTTGCCACGGGTATTTTCATGCAAGACATTCTCTTCTGCACAATTTTATTTCCACTTACTCTTCTCATAAATCAATAGGACTATTCAGCTTGGATTGGGATCAGCTCCTCTGCTCCACTATTTTTATACCTGCTTAGGCATGTGCTTAAAAGGATCAACATTATTTCATAAAGGTTATCTGCTTAGGTCCATTCTCTGAGTGAAAGGCCATTGCTCTCCAGAAGAGCCCATTCCTGAGAGACTCTTTTATCTCTGAGGAGAGAAGGCAAGAAGGAAGGTAGAATGAGCAAGTAAGAAGAGCCTCATATTATCCAAGTGACAGCAGTGGTGAATGACTGAATGGTCCTTGAGCAACACAGATTTGAACTGTGCAGGTCCACATATATGTGGATTTTGTTCTGCCTCCACCACTCCTGAGACAACAAGTACAACCTCTCCTCCTCTTCCTCCGCCTCAGCCCACTCAACGTGAAGACAACAATGATGAAGAACTTTATGACAAACCTCTATCCCTAAATAAATAGTAAACATATTTTCTCTTTCTGATGATTTTCTCAATAAGATATTCTTTTTTAGCTCACTTTACTGTAAGAGTAGAGTATATAAGACATATAAGATACAAAGTTGTGTTAATTGAATGCTTATGTTATTTGTAAGGCTTGCTGTCAATAGTAGGATATCAGTAGTTAGGTTTTGGGGAGTTCAAAGTTAAATGCATATTCTACTGCTTGGCGGTCAGTGACCCTAATTTCCGCGTTGTCCTAGAGTCATCTGTACTACAATTGGAATAATCATTTTCAAACAAGAACATTAACATTTGAATAGGAGATACAAATATGGATCTGGATATACTCATTTCAATTAAGCATTTAGAGTTTACTAGAGTACTGAATAATTTAAATTTTGACTTATAGAATGGCAAATGTTTATGACTTTCTTCTCCTCTAATTTAAATTAAGTAGAATTTTCTCATCATTAGGACTGTATGAGAATGTCATAATAATATGAGAAAAGGTAGTAGTTGCCTGATGTTGAAAGATTTACCTAATCTCACATAAATAACCAAAACAGCATGGTACTGGTACCAAAACAGAAATATAGATCAATGCAACAGAACAGAGCCCTCAGAAATAACGCCGCATATCTACAACTATCTGATCTTTGACAAACCTGAGAAAAACAAGCAATGGGGAAAGGATTCCCTATTTAATAAATGGTGCTGGGAAAACTGGCTAGCCATATGTAAAAAGCTGAAACTGGATCCCTTCCTTACACCTTATACAAAAATCAATTCAAGATGGATTAAAGACTTAAACGTTAGACCTAAAACCATAAAAACCCTAGAAGAAAACCTAGGCTTTACCATTCAGGACATAGGCATGGGCAAGGACTTCATGTCTAAAATACCAAAAGCAATGGCAACAAAAGCCAAAATTGACAATTGAGATCTAATTAAACTAAAGAGCTTCTGCACAGCAAAAGAAACTACCATCAGAGTGAACAGGCAACCTACAGAATGGGAGAAAATTTTTGCAACCTACTCATCTGACAAAGGGCTAATATCCAGAATCTACAATGAACTCAAACAAACTTACAAGAAAAAAACAAACAACCCCATCAAAAAGTGGGTGAAGGACATGAACAGACACTTCTCAAAAGAAGACATTTATGCAGCCAAAAAACACATGAAAAAATGCTCACCGTTACTGGCCGTCAGAGAAATGCAAATCAAAACCACAATGAGATACCATCTCACACCAGTTAGAATGGCAATCATTAAAACGTCAGGAAACAACAGGTGCTGGAGAGGATGTGGAGAAAACACTTTTACACTGTTGTTGGGACTGTAAACTAGTTCAACCATTGTGGAAGTCAGTGTGGCGATTCCTCAGGGATCTAGAACTAGAAATACCATTTGACCCAACCATCCCATTACTGGGTATATAACCAAAGGACTATAAATCATGCTGCTATAAAGACACATGCACACCTATGTTTATTGCGGCACTATTCACAATAGCAAAGACTTGGAACCAACCCAAATGTCCAACGATGATAGACTGGATTAAGAAAATGTGGCACATATACACCATGGAATACTATGCAGCCATAAAAGATGATGAGTTCATGTCCTTTGTAGGGACATGGATGAAATTGGAAATCATCATTCTCACTAAACTATCACAAGAACAAAAAACCAAACACCGCATATTCTCACTCATAGGTGGGAATTGAACAATGAGAACACATGGACACAGGAAGGGGAACATCACACTCTGGGGACTGTTGTGGGGTGGGGGGAGGGGGGAGGGATAGCATTGGGAGATATACCTAATGCTAGATGACGAGTTAGTGGGTGCAGTGCAGCAGCATGGCTCATGTATACATATGTAAATAACCTGCACATTGTGCACATGTACCCTAAAACTTAAAGTACAATAATAAAAAATAAATAAACAAATAAATAAATTGCAAAAAAACAAAAAACAAAAACAAACAAGCAAAAAAGACAATAAAATAAAAGACAAGTGCTTACCAAGCACTTACTTCACTGTGAGGGACACAGACCATCACATGTCACATAAAATGATGAGACAATCTAGCAACTGCAAGTTAACTTAGGTCTTTTGTTCTTTCATTGTAATGTATAAAATTAATCATAATATTTTATCAATCTTGTCTACATTAATATTTTAAAACTCTCTTTCTCATATTTTATAATCACTGCCTTGCTCCAGATCCTCATCCTCTCTTCACTAAAGTTTTTCAAACTAAATCAAAATATAATTTGAAATTTGATATTATCAGCTAAGATTCTTAACTAAAAACAACAAAAATAAATTCATCGTAATTAAACAGAAAATATAATATTTTAAGAAGATGCAAAGGCTTGCCAAATCACCAAAAAATGGACACTAGTAAGGTCTGAAAATCTGCCACCATGAGCAGTTTCCAATATGTGCTTGATAATGAGTTCTGTGAAGTCACCACTCTTGCTCCTTCTGGGTGCCATTCACAGCCCTAGAAACTTGGTGAATTTATTTCTGCGGTGTCCAGGTAGCCTTTGAGGATTTGCACCCGCCCTGCTGCTTTGAGCTACCCATTCCCATGTTAAAATCTGGGATCCAAAAATCTAATATAGACTCTCCACCTATATACAATAGCCATAGCTGAAAGTCAGGTAGAGAAGTAAGTATTTGAGTTCTATCAGAGACAGTGAAATGTTTGCTTTCTGAGGCATGTCAAAAGAGAGTTCAGATACATAAAGGATGGTAAGTAAATTCTGCACTATATGTTGAGGCAACAGTCCCACGGCCACAGATTTATCTATTTACATGGGCCGATATGAAGGAGATATGGAATATGTGAGAAGTTTGTTATATGCATGATACTTGGAGAAATATTCATGGGAGAAGAAAAGAGTAGACATGATTTGTTTTGTATTTCTCAAGCAGGCCAACAAATTTCGGTGGCCCTATTTGGACAGACATTGAATGGAGTTGCAAGAGAGGCAGATAGATGGACTAGACATGAAAGAGTTTGTGAAACTTACTGGAAAGGGGTCCTGATCCAGACCCCAAAAGAGGGTTCATGGATCCTGCACAAGGAAGAATTCAGTGCAGGTCCCCAGTGCAAAGCAAAAACAAGTTTATTAAGAAGGCAAAGTGTGAAAGAACAGCTACTCCACAGACAGAGTAGGGCGTTCCCGAAAGTAAGAGGAGGACGTGTCCACCCTAGGTACAATACTTGTTTATATATAGAATAAAAAAGAGCATGGGGAGATGTGCTCTGCTACTAGGGTTTGTGATAAAGGATTAATTTTCTTAATTAGTATATTTTTCAAGAATCAATATTATTATCTTTAAAGAAAAATTAAGAATGCCTTTGTTCTTAGGATGTCGGGATATCTGGACACTCCCAAGTCTGGATCTGTTTAGTAAACATTGTCAATCTGTTTCCTTAGCCGTAAACATCTAAAGGCTCAAAATACCAAACTTTCTAGAAATATCAAACTATCTAGGAATACCAAACTTTCTGGGAATGCAGCCCAGCAAGTCCCCGGCTCATTTTCCAGCCCTCACTCAAGGTGGAGTCGCTCTGGTTCAAAAGCCTCTGACAAAACGAGTGGACAATAATTATGTTACCAAGATTGTAGCCTCCCAGTGCAAATCTCAGTTTCTCTTTTTTCTGTCCTTCAATCCAGACTGGCTTTCAGACACAAAAAGAAAAATACTACATGATCTCCCTTATATATTGGGCCTAAAAATAAATGGAATACATAGAAACAGAGTAGAATGCTGGTTGCTCAAAGTTAACTTGTCTAAGAAACTGACTCAGTGCAGGATGCAGCGTCTTCATCTCCCTGTCTCATGACGTCACCACTCACTCTCCACCAATCAGCAATACCCACACTTTAGCTCATCACGCATCCGGACTCCTTAAAAACGCCTTCCCCGGCCGGGCGCGGTGGCTCACGCCTGTAATCCCAGCACTTTGGGAGGCCGAGGCGGGTGGATCATGAGGTCAGGAGATCGAGACCATCCTGGCTAACAAGGTGAAACCCCGTCTCTACTAAAAATACAAAAAATTAGCCGGGCGCGGTGGCGGGCGCCTGTAGTCCCAGCTACTCGGGAGGCTGAGGCAGGAGAATGGCGTGAACCCGGGAAGCGGAGCTTGCAGTGAGCCGAGATTGCGCCACTGCAGTCCGCAGTCCGACCTGGGCGACAGAGCGAAACTCCGTCTCAAAAAAAAAAAAAAAAAAAAAAAAAAAAAACGCCTTCCCCAAGTGTCTCCAGAAGGCTGATTTGAAGCTCCCTTTCTCTTCCTCCTTCAGCTGACCTATGATTATTAAACTTTCTCTGCTGCAACTCCCACTGTTTTGGTGTTTTGGTCTGCTACCACTCCATGGGCAATTGAACCCTGTGGGCCTGTAACAATCCTCCTGCCTCAGTCTCCCCATAGGTGGAATTACAGGCCTGTGCCACTGTCTCTTGCTCTTTTACAACAGATTTGACATAAATGGTTATCATCTGAATCTTGTATCTTTGGGACATAGAATGGGGTTTCTTAATAAGTAAATATGACTATGAAATTAAAGAACTATGTGATTTAATGAATAATTCAATTGCACTGAACACAGACATTTAAAAATGTAAAATAAACAGCCCAGTTTTATTTACGTTCCTCATTCTAATCTCTTCTTTCAGAATAAACCAAGTTTTGACCTACTCTATGCTTGGTTTTGTGCTTTCTACTGTAGATATGTGAAATAGTCAATTACTGCTTCCAGAACACCCTCAGGGAGAAGTAGCGTATTTCAAGAGTAAGTTGCTGACTCATATCCACCATATTTGCATACTTGACCCTCGTGGGTAGTTTTGAGGTAAACCTAAAAGTCTTTCTTTTTTACAGAAATTCCCTTGAAGTCTGTCTTACCGCATCAAATAAGGATTCTTATCTCCTCTTTCAGCGCAAATAGGTTTTGTCTTCTGTCTTTTGAAGATGTGAAAACAGTTACCTGGTTGCACTAGACATGGCACCTACTATTACGTTAAAAATCACGGTTGTAAACTTAAGAAAGGAATTCTTCAGCTTTTCAAATGCGGGAATATTGAAACATCTGCACACTTTGACTTTCAGGAAATTGTCCTTGCCAAGACTGTACACTAACTATGCTGACTGGATAATTATAAAACATATACATGCATCAGTAAATTAAATTGGCTGGTCGGAGTGTAGTGGTGTTTACAACTAATTGATCACAACTAGTTACAGGTTTCTTGGTTCCTTCTCCACTGCCACTGCTTCACCTGACTAGCCTATACATATCAAAATATGTATCACAATAAATATGTCAAAATATATATCAATATATGTCAAAGTACAATTTATCAATCAATACATGTTTAAAAAATTCAAATATTTTTAAAACTCAAAAAAATTAAAATGAACCAATATCACTTTTCTCAGATAGATGGTATAATTAATTCATTTGCTATAAACAGTAAGAAATTCGAGAACATTTAAAGTACTCTACTGAGTAAAAATTCAATTCAATTAATAAATATTTTCTAAATATTAATAAAACAAGAGTAGTAACATCATTAGGTCATCTAATTTAATAGGAGAAAATAGCTTTTCAATTTAATGAGCATTTCCAAATGAAAGGAAACAATTTGAACATGTTTAATACCCAAAATATGTTAATAGATAACTCCCATGTATGCGATATTTTAATAATTTCTACTTATGTGTTTCTATAAAATTAACCTCATTCTATTTTAGTGGTTTAAATCTTACTGCCAATATAAACCAAACGGAGAAAGAAATTAATGAATGCAGACGCATTGTTACTGTGGATGCCTGAATAACAACATTCAGGCTATGGAGTTTCATGAAGTTTAGAAACACAATAACATTGACATAATGTGAATAAATATATTTGTTTCTTTCTCCACTGAGTTTACCCTTGACATGCCTTGAAACATCTAAATACATGATCAGAACTCATATCTGAACCTTGGACTAAGGCCACCCTCTGTATTAGTGACTCAGCCTAGAATGTCCAAAGTCTCACTGGACAATCCCCAGTGAATATCAGCAAAACAACTGTTAATCTCATTCTCCAGGTAAAGAAGGACTGGATTCATGATTGCTACCGAATCCCCATGGAGGTCTCTGAAATCTCACATGCAGGGATGAAAAACCAATATACACATTTCTTTAAAAACCATGTATTTGTTTCTATGATGACTGTAGGACTGCCGTAAGCTAAGCAAAGGCAGTGAGTGTTTGGAAATGAGGAAATAATAAAGGTACTAATTATAATTGTATTTTTAAATTTTTATTGATTACAGGGAAGAAGGAACTCTGGCAAGTGCTTAAGAGACCTTTTTTCAGAAATAGAATTGAGGTGAATTTCAGCACTAATAACTGTACTTTCTATAACACCATTCAGCAGGAATCTTGGAGTATGAAATGCACACAACCAAAAATGGTTTTGAACCTAATTCATAAATGTGTTTTCTGGACGGGAAGGTAAATGATGGTCAATTGAAGAGACAGGGATACATTATATTAGACTATGCTTTTATGAGCTCAAGTGAAATTAAAGAACCCACATTCATAATAATGATTGTAGGGGGCAGCATTTCCTCATTCCTACTTGGCTGGTGTTTTGTGCTATTTTGGTTTGATTTCTTTTGCCATGAATGATGAGTGATTATATGATGCTCATTATAATCTTATTGCTACTTCTCACTTTGTATTTTACCTTATATGAATCCAGTGTTTCTAATGAAATGCCTGGAAAGTATTAGTGTTGTTTTTGCATAAAAATGTTAAAGGGGCATTAAAGTAAAGGTACAACGAGAATGGTTAAAATCACCAGTCTTCAGTGCAATGATATATTTTCTTAAAAGAAGGATGTTCTTCTGGAAATCAATAATGAAGGTAACCGTATGATTAGTAGCTGTGCTATAGGTATCCAGATTTTGTTTTTACACGCAACTTGATCCAAATTGTAGTGTTTTGTGCTTTTAACTTTTACAATGTATTTATTTTTTCTTTCGGGACACAAGGTAAACTTCCAGTGAAATTATAGAAATAGCTGCCTTAACAACCACACAGAGTTTTGTGAGAAGCAAATGAGCATAGTATGTGGAAACAATGTGAAGGCTATATTACTCTACAGTCATAGCGGATAAGAAGTGTGTGAGTGTAAGTGATAGTGATTATGTTGATGATGCTGGCAATGATAATGATGAAGATGCTGAAACTTGCAGGTTCTCTTCAGTGATACACCCAGTCAAGTAATACACAGTCACTATGTCACAGCTTCTAATAACCCATGGATTCTTCTCCCTGTTGTAATTATAAGATACAGGGTCAGACATTCAGCAACAAAAGCTTACATTTTTAGTAATTGTAAGAGGTAGAATTCGATTTATTTTAAATGGAGTCTCTGTCCCGTGAACTTACAGCGTGAAGCAGAGTAAGCACGTCCTCATTCCAAAATAACAGTCAAAGGATATACTTTCATAATCAGTTTCTGTCTAGCCATGGAAATGTCTGTCTGCCCACTTACCTGTGTATCTATCTGTGAGAGCTGATGCACCATCGTGGACCTCAATGGCAGGATGTGACTTGGAAGCACACATACACACATATAAAGCAAATATTCACTTTATATTCTTTACTCCTTTACACCTTAAAGAGTTGTGGTTCTCCAACTTCATACCCTTCTCAACAATTACAAATACACATTGTGTAAATATTAAATAAGATCAGTTATTCCTAAGTCAGTCAAATACAACATTATGTACTGTGTCTCTTCTTAGGAGAATCTATTGTGGAGGAACTTGAAGGAAGGAGGAATCTCCTGTAGGATTCCATGCCAGGATGCTGTGGAGAGCTGTCCTTGTCTATACTCCAGAAGACACTCTTTTGTGTCATCTGATTGACATTCTAGACAAGTGTTGTCAATGTGAAATAATTCTTACTGTAGACATGCAGATTCAGGTACAGACAGCTTGTTTTAAGGAATTAAGGTTGACTCATGGAGTCAATGAGTTCTCAGCTTTTGCAGTGAAACTGACACTGTCACCTGTTCCACCATTTCCCAGCCCTATGTGCAAGTAACGGAGATCAGTTTCTGGAAGTTTCAGAGATTCAGAACTTTTGTATATTTTAGATATCGCTTCAGAAGACAGGAAGTAAACCAGATTCTGGAAAACTCCATAAAGAATGTCTTGGATTTGGGAGACTTTTAAAACTTCAGTCTGATTTTTTATAAAACTTCCAGCAAAGCCAACTTGTGCCCCTGCCTCCCCAGCTTTTTCTTTCCTTTTCTCTCTCTCTTTTTTTTTTTTTTGGTAAATCCACACGTTTTCTGCACCTATGCAAATGATCATACCAACTTTAAGGAGACCAGCCTTATATTGTGATGAATAATAATTTTTTCTTTGAGAATAGCTTTGATCAAAGGTGAGGAAAATATAGGGAGTAAAATCTGTGCCTCCGTGGAAAACTGCAGTATCTGGACTCAAGACGACCATCCTCCTTGGTTCCCAACTCTGTCACTAGGTCACTGCACAGTCGTGAATAACTCTCTTCAAATCTTGTGATTCAGTTTTTCTTCCTTGTGATAATGAGACTATGTTTGAAAAATCTTTGTCTTCTCTGAGTATATGAATCACTAAATTAGGCTACTTTCTTCATCTCACTTTCAACTCTAAATTGAAGGATAGGAAAGAGATCCATGCAATGCAATGATGCTTTTTGACTTCAAAAGTTAGTAATAGGTTCTTCATTTGAAACTTGGGCAGCATTTGGAGAGTCGTAAATATTACGTTGAATATGTACATCCTCAACTTGATTTACAGAGGAGATTATATGGGTGTTTTTTTATAACTGAATTCTTCCAGTAGGGAATCTTTTACATTGGGAGCAAGATAGAAAATATCTTTCATTTAGAGTTTCTGAGAAACCATTTTTCTGTGAAGCTACATAATAGTTGCCAGGTGAAGTGAAAGTACAGTAAAACTGGGTGATACGAGGAAACGGAAAAAGATTTGTAATGAGTAAATTTTAATCATTAAAAAATCCTACTTGTTTTACATTTCTTATACTTTCTCAATTATTTAACACTTATGTGGAGTTTTTGTTTTAATAATTTTTTTCTATTATTTTTGTTTTGACTGATTAAAAACTGAACCAGCCTTATTTCAGATTTACTGCCAAAAAATTTTGAGGGATGAACTACACCACACATTTTTAAAAGGTTTATATTAATGTACGTTTATTTATCTAGATGTCACATTTATTCACAGATATGTATGTATATATGTATATATGCATATATGTATGTGTGTTTGTGGATCTAGAGGAGTTTACTGAAAATCTCTGAATCTCAGTTTTGTCATCTATAAAATATCAGTGGCGATACCTATCTGAAGAGTTATTTTGATGAACTCCAATAGAATCACGGAACGAATCCTGTGACGTTCCAGGTGCCAATGTGTGGAGAGAGTCTGTGAAAGTTCACGCCTCCCTCCTGCCTTTCACATGAGACGTAGTTCAGGTTTCAGGTTTGTGGGTCCTACTCACTCTGAAATAGTGACCAGGACTTTTTCTGCTCGTTCTTTCCTCCTGTGTATTCTGTCATTAATGCTTATGCCTGCATACTGAATTTTTAGTGAAAAAAAAAAAGTAAAAGCAAGTGAAGATGTTTCTTAATAGGCTAAAATACCTTCCTTATAGCTAATTCTGTTAATACAAAAGTAAAAGGGCCAGAAATAATCCATTTGGATTTATTTTTACATAAGAAAAAATATCTTCTTCACATTATTGAAACAGGAACATCATGGCTGAGGCTGCTTTCCTGTCAGGAACCAGCCTTTAATTTTATTTAAATAATATTATATAATAGGACATTAGAATATTAGAACACTGGAACATGGATAATAAAAAGATGATACATTGGCAGTCATAAAACATGGCATTAACTATCAGATGTGATGTGCCATTTATTATGCTGTTCTATGTTATTTTTTTCTTTAAAATTAGGATAATGTTAACTATTTCTTGGACAGTTTGTCATAGAGAGTCCTATGTAAAACACAAATGATACAAATGTTTGAACTGTTAATTGTGTTAACAATTTCAAATATTACATATTCTACTTACCAATAATTATACTAGTAATATAAATTACGGAGTATTGGATTAATCTTAATGCCAATCTCATCTTGATTCCAAATGACATTTATGAAAATTTGCTCTTCTAAATTTTTTTTCAAAAATTAGCAATGTCATAAAATTACTGAAAATAAATTGCTCTGCCATGGCTTAGAAACCTGCCAAGATGTTTAAAAAATGTATTTGGAAATCCAAATTGGAATAGTTTCAGTACATTTAAGGGATCTTTTATTAGTGCAAATATACTTAAGAGGAACACCATTTTAACCATTTTAAGTGTAGAATTCTGTGTCATTAAGTACATATATTGTTGTGCAACCATCACTACCATGCACCTGTCTCCAAAACAATTTCATTGTCTCCAACTAACACTTTGTTTTTGTTAAACAATTACTCTCCTTCTTTCCCTTCCCCTATCCTCCAGGGTCCACCATTCCACTTTCCATCTCTGTGAATTTCACTACTGTGGGTACTTCATGTAAGTGAATTCTTACAATATTTGTCTTTTTGTGACAGACTTATTTCACTTAGCATAATGTATTCAAGCTTCATCCATGTTGTAGCATGTGTCAAAATTTCTTCGCTTTTAAAAATTGTATATACATACTATATTTATATTGATTTCTTTGTTGATGACCACTTGCTTTGTTTCTGCCTTTGGGCTATTGTGAATAGTATTGCTATGAACATGGGAATAGAAATATTTGTTTGATGCAAAAACAGAATAACAAATACTGCATGTTCTCAGGTATAATTGGGAGCTAAGCATTGGGTACACATGGACATAAAGATGGGAACAGTAGACACTGGGGACTCCAAAAGAGGAGAGTGAGGGAGGAGGCAAGGGTTGGAAAGCTACCTATTTGTGCTATGTTCATTATTTTAGTGAAGGGTTCAACAGAAGCCCAAACCTCAGCATCATGCAACATATCCATGTAACAAACCACGATTGTACTCCCTGAATAAAAAAAAATCCAAAAATGTCTGTTCAAGTGTCTGCTTTTATTTTATTTATTTATTTATTATTTTATTTATTTCATTCAGAACTAAAATTGTTGGATCATATACTTATTCTATGTTTAAGTTTTGGAGGAATTACAATGCAGATGGTTCCAGGTTTACAATAATTTGATGATTTTTGACTTTATGATGAGTTTATAGGAACATAACCACATTGTAAATTGAGGAATACCTGGACATATGATGCTTTGACTTGCAATTTTTGACATTATGATGACTTTATGCAGATATTAAATGCATTTTTACTTACAATTTTTTCAACTTGCAGTGGGTTTGTAAAGGTGAAACTCCACTGCAAGTTGAGAAGCAGCTGTATCATTTTCCACAGTGCCTTTATTATTCGACATTTTCACCAACAATTCTTTATAGTTTTATCTCTTGCATTTAGGATTTTTATTCATTTTGACTTAATTTTTCAATATGGTATAAACATCCAACTTCAATATCTTGAATGTAAATATCCACTTTTCCAAACACCATTTATTTAAAAGATTGTTCCATCTCCACTGAGTGGACTTAGTTCCTTTTTGAAAAAAGGTTACCATGTATATGAGAGGCTATTTCTTGACTCTGTTTTATACTGTTGAGCTATATGTCTGGTGCCATTGCCACATTGTTTTGATTACTATAGCTTCGAGTAAGTTTTAAAATCAGAAAGTATATGGCCTGGTGCGGTGGCTCATGCCGGTAATCCCAGCACTTTGGGAGGCCGAGCCGGGCAGATCACAAGGTAAGGAGGTTGAGGCCATGCTGGCTAACATGGTGAAACCCCATCTCTACTAAAAATACAAAAAAAAATTAGCTGGGCGTGGTGGCGGGCACCTGTAGTCCCAGCTACTCAGGAGGCTAAGCCAGGAGAATGGTGTGAATCTGGGAGGTGGAGCTTGTAGTCACCTGAGATGGTGCCACTGCACTCCAGCCTGGGCGACAGAGTGAGACTCCATCTCAAAAAGAAAAAAAAATCAGATTGTATGAGTCTTTAAATTTTGTTCTTTTTCCAAAAAAGTCAAGATTTTTTGACTACTGAGGATTCTTTAAGATTCATATAAATTTTAGAATGGGCTTTTCTGTTTCTGAAAAAAAAAATTTATCATTTTAATTTTGATAGAGATTCTACTAATTTTTTTGGCTTTGTACACTTTTTATTTTTATTTTTAATAATTATTTTATTGTTTGTTTTTAAGTTCCAGGGTATATGTGCAGGAAGAGCAGTTTTGTTTCATGGGTAAACGTGTGCCATGGTGATTTGCTGCACGTATCAATCCATCACCTAGGTATTAAGCCCAGCATGCACTAGCTCTTTTCCCTAATGCTCTCCCCTCCACCGCCCTCCCACAACAGGCCCCAGTAAGTGTTGTTCTCTTCCTGTGTCAATGTGTTTTCATTGTTCAGCTCCCACTTATAAGCGAGAATATGCAGTATTTAGTTTTCTGTTCCTGCATTAGTTTGCTGAGGATAATGGCTTCCAGCTTCATCCATGTCCTTGCAAAGGACATGATCTTATTATTTTTTATGGCTGTATAGTATTCCATTGTGTATATGTACCACAGTTTCTTTATTCAGTCTATCATTAATGGACATTTGGGTTGATTCCATGTTTTTGCTATTGTGGATAGTGCTGCAATGAACATACACATGCCAGTACCTTTATAATAGAATAATTTATATTCCTTTGGGTATACACCCAGTAACGGGAATGCCGGATCAAATGGTATTTCCAGTTCTAAGTCTTTGAGGAATTGCCACACTGTCTTCCACGATGGGTGAACTAATTTACATTCCCACCAACAGTGTGAAAGCATTCCTATTCCTATTTCACAGCCTCACTAGCATCTGTTGTTTCTTGACTTTTTAATAATTGCCATTCTGATCGGCAGCAGATGGTATCTAATTATGGTTTTGATTTGCATTTCTCCAATGATCAGTGATGTTGTGCTTTTTAAAATATGTTTGTTGGCCATACCTATGTCTTTTTTTTGAGAAATGTCTTTTCATGTCCTTTGCGCAATTTTAATGGGGTTGTTTGTTCTTTTCTTGTAAATTTGCTTAAGTTCTTTGTAGATTCTGGAATTAGATCTTTGTCAGATGGATAGATTGCAATAATTTTCTCCCATTCTGTAGGTTATCTGTTCATTCTGGTGATAGTTTTGGTTGCTGTGTAGAAGCTCTTTAGTTTAGTTAGATCCCATTTGTCAATTTTTGCTATTGTTGCAATTGCTTTTGGAGTCTTTGTCATAAAATCCTTTCCCATGCCTACTTCCTGAATGATATTGCCTAGATTTTCTTCTAGGGCTTTTATAGTTTTGGGTTTTACATTTCAGTCTTTAATCCATCTTGAGTTAATTTTTGTGTAAGGTGTAAGGAAGGAATCCAGTTTCTATTTTCTGCATATGGCTAGCCAGTTCTCCCAGCACCATTTATTAAATAGGGAATCTTTTCCCCGTTGCTTGTTTTTTTCCAGTTTGTTGAAGATCAGATGGTTGTAGATGTGCAGTTTTATTTCTGAGTTTTCTATTCTGTTCCATTGGTCTATGTGCTTGTTTTTGTACCAGTACCATAAGTTTATGTTACTGTAGCTTTGTAGTATAGTTTGCAGTCGGGTAGCCTGATGCCTCCAGCTTTGTTCTTTGGCTATGCAAGCTCTTTTTTGGTTCCATATGATTTTAAAATAGTTCTTTTTTTCTAATTCTGTGAAGAATATCAATGGTATTTATTGGAATAGCATTGTATCTATAAATTGCTTTGGGCGGTATGGCCATTTTCACAATATTGATTCTTCCTATCCATGAGTATGGAATGTTTTTCCCTCTGCTTGTGTCCTTTGTGATTTCCTTGAACAATGGTTTGTAGTTCTCTTTGAATAGGTCCTTCACTTCCCTTATTAGCTGTATTCCCAGGTATTTTATTATCTTTGTGGCAATTATGAATGGGAGATCATTCATGATTTGGCTTTCTGCCTGTCTGTTGCTGGAGTGTAGGATTGCTTGAGATTTCTGCACATTGATTTTGTATCCTGAGAGTTTGATGAATTTGCTTATCAGCTTAAGAAGCCTTTGGGCTGAGTCAGTCTGGTTTTCTAGATAGAATCATATCATCTGAAACAAAGACAATTTGACTTCCTTTCTTCCTATTTGCATACCCTTTCTTTATTTCCTTTGATTGATTGCCCTGGTCATACCTTCCAACACTACATTGAATAAGAGTCATGAGAGATTGCATCCTTGTCTTGTGCTAATTTTCAAAGGGAATGCTTCCAGTTTTTGCCCATTCAGTACAATATTGGCTGTGGGTTTGTCATAAATGGCTCTTATTATTTTGATGTATGTTCCTTAAATACCTAATTTGTTGAGAGTTTTTAACATGAAGGGAAGTCGAATTTTTTTGAAAGCCTTTTCTGTGTCTATTGAGATAATCATGTAGTTTTTGTCTTTAGTTCTGTTTATGTGATGGATTACATTCATTGATTTGTGTATGTACAACCAGCTTGCATCCAGGGGATGAAGCTGACTTGATTGTGATGGAGAAGCTTTTTGATGTGCTGCTGGATTCAATTTGTCAGTATTATATTGAGTATGTTTGCATTGCATTGTTCATCAGGGATATTGGCACAAAGTTTTCTTTTTTTTTTGTTATGTCTCTGCTGGGTTTTGGAAGCAGGATGATGCTGGCCTCATAAAATGAGTTAGTGTGGGCTGGGCATGGTGACTCATGCCTGTAATCCCAGCACTCTGGAAGGCCAAGGCAGGTGGATCAACAGAAGTCTGGAGTTCGAGACCAGCCTGGCCAACTTCGTGAAACCCTATCTCTACTAAAAATACAAAAAATTAGCCAGGCATGGTGTTGTGTGCCTGTTGTTCCAGCTACTCTGGAGGCTGAGGCATGTGAATCACTTAAACCCAGGAGGCGAAGGTCGCAGTGAGCTGAGATTGTGCCACTGTAGGTGACATCATCACCTGGGTGATTGTGAGACTGGATGACAGTGAGACTCCGTCTCAAGGAAAAAAATGATTTAGGGTGGAGTCCCTCCTTTTCAATTGTTTGGAAAAGTTTCAGAAGAAATGATAACAGCTCCTCTTTTTACCTCTGGTAGAATTCAGCTGTAATCCATCTGAACCTGGGCTTTTTTTCCTTTGGTAAGCTATTTATTATTGCCTCAATTTCAGAACTTGTTATTGGTCTATTTAGGGATTCAAATTCTTCCTGGTTCAGTGTTGGGAAGGTTTATGTGTCCAGGAATTTATCCATTTCTTCTAGATTTTCCTGTTTATTTGCATAGAGGTGCTTTTAGTATTCTCTGTTGGTTGTTTGTGTTCCTGTGGGGTTGGTGGTGGTATTTCCCTTATTGTTTCTGATTGTGTTCATTGGAATCTTCTCTCTTTACATCTTTATTATTCTTTTTTTATTATACTTTAAGTTTTAGGGTACATGTGTACAACGTGCAGGTTAGTTACATATGTATACATGTGCCATGTTGGTCTTGATAGTGGTCTACCTAGTTTATTGATTTTTTTTTCAAAAACCAGCTCCTGGATTCATTGTTTGAAGGGTTTTTGTGGGTCTCCATCTCCTTCAGTTCCACCCTGATCTTGGTTATTTCTTGTGTTCTGCTAGTTCTGGGGTTTGTTTGCTCTTGGCTCTCTAGTTCTTTTAGTTGTGATGTTAGGGTGTCGATGTGAGATCTTTCTAGCTTTTTGCTTTGTGCATTTAGTGCAATAAATGTCCCTCTTAACACTGATTTCTCTGCATCCCGGAGATTCTGATGAGTTGTCTCTTTGCTTTCTTTGGTCTTAAAGAACTTCTTCATTTCTGCCTTAATTTTATTATTTAGACAGGAGTCATTCAGGAGCAGGTTGTTCTATTTCCCTGTAGTTGTGTGGTTTTGAGGGGGCTTTTTTTTTTTTTTTAGATGGCTGGAGTGCAATGGTGTGATCTCTGCTCACTTCAACTTTTGCCTCCTGGGTTCAAGCAATTCTCCTGCCTCGGCCTCTTGAGTAGCTGGGACTGCTGGTACACGCCACCATACTCGGCTAAATTTTTTTGGATTTTAGTAGACACAGGGTTTCACTGTGTTGCCCAGGCTTGTCAGAAACTCCTGAGCTCAGGCAATCTGCCCGCCTTGGCCTCCCAAAGTGCTGGGATTACAGTCGTGAGCCACTGTGCCTGGCCTTGAGGGGGCTTTAATCTTGAGTTATAATTTGATTGTGCTGTGGTCTGAGAGACTGTTTGTTATGATTTCAGTTCTTTTGTATTTGCTGAGGAGAGTTTTACTTCCAATTATGCGATAGTTTTAGAGTAAGTGCCATAAGGTGCCAAGACAAAATTTTGTATTTTGTTGTTTTGGGAAGGAGAGTTCTGTAGACATCTATCAGGTCCACATGATCTAGAGCTGAGTTCAAGTCCTGAATATCTTTGTTAATTTTCTGTCTCAATTATCTAATAGTGACGGTGGGGTATTAAAGTCTCTCACTATTATTGTGTAGGGGTCTAAGTCTCTTTGTAGGTCTCTAGGAACTTGTTTTATGAATCTGGATGCTCCTGTATTGGGTTCATAAATATTTACAATGGTTAGAAATTTTTGTCGAATTGAACTCTTTTACATTATGTAATGCCCTTCTTTGTCTTTTTTGACCTTTGTTGGTTTAAAATCTGTTTTGTCAGAAACTAGGATTGCTACCACTGCTTTTTCCTTTTTTCCTTTTGCTTGGTAAATTTTTCTCTATTCCTTTATTTTGAGTCTGTGTGCATCTTTGCACATAAGATGTGTCTCTTGAATACAGCACATCAATGGGTGACTTTGGCTGTTGTTGACATCTTAACAGTATTAACCCTTCCAATTGATAAATATATAGGATGCATTTCCATTTATTCGTGTCTTCTTTAATAGCTCTAATCAGCATTTTCTCATTTTCAATGTATAAAGTTTTTAACTCCTTGGTTAGGTTTATTCTTAAGTGTTTTATTTCTTTTTGTTACTATTGGAAATAAAATCAGAGTGTAGTTTTCAGATTGTTCTTTGTTAGTGTATAGAATTACAACAGATTCTGGTTGTTGATGTTGCATCCTGTAATTTTGCTAATTTTATTTATTATTTATCCTAAGTTTTCTACATATATAATTATGTCATATGCAAACAGAAATAATTTTAGTTCTTTCTTTTGAAATAAGATAATTTTTATTTCTTTTCTTGTTTAATTGTTTTGACTGAACTTGCAGTAATGTGTTAAGTAGATGCAGAGAAAGTGGACTTCCGTGTCTTGTTGCAAATCTTAGAGTCAAAGCTGCCAGTCTTTCATTATTATGATGAAGCTGTGGGTTAAAATCCCAACTGTCACATAATTTTTACATCACTTTAATGTTTTATGAAAGAAATGCATAGACATGGTCTCAGCAGACCACAGGGTAAAATGTTAGAAACATAACAAACTCTTGCTGACCCCAAAGGCAAGGACTTCAAATTATCTTTTCAGTTTTCCCTCATATTTGTCCATGTATTTTCAGACAATACATTCATCTGATAATGCTTGATTTTCTATATCTCAAATATCATTCCTTGATCCATGATACAGACCCCCATGGATAGTAACTGCTCCCTCCTCCGTCATCACCCCCAGGTTCCTTACACTTCTCCCATTGTCACAGCAGAACTGCATTACACCTTATGTCTGCACCAAGGGGTTGACAACATCATTTCATCTTATGGAATTTATTGCTACAATACAAAAAATATAAACTATTGTAAAACCTGGTTATATATATATATATCTTCTGATATTTATTACTTTTATTTCAAAAGCTTTAGAATTTGTCTTGTGGGTAATATTTAGAATTTTTAGGAAATTTTTCCGAGGAAATAGAATTTTTATATAATATTTTTCAGGAAAGTATTTCTCACTTATTTTTGTGAATTTGCATGCCATTTGAATATGATGGTTAATATATTTCATTTCAGAGAAAATTTTTAAAGAATATTAACTTCATTATTATTTTGCTATATGCATTTCTAAGAAAGTCCTTAAGCACATATTGTTCCTCCAATATGATTTCCCTACTTTTTTTATCTTTCCTAAATTACAATTTTTTCATATTGTTGTTGCTTTTGTTTACCTTCTAATAGATTTTTCTTACTTTGCCTTTTGAAACTTTCACTTAATATTTTTTATCAATTATTATATTTTTAATTTTCAAAGGTCCTTTATGTTACCTGTTGCATCCTTTCAGATAGCAAATGATATTTATTTCACAGATTTCGTAACATATCATACATCTCTGAAGATATGAATTCTGATCACAACAATTCATTCTTTCTGCATTTTTAATCATTATAATCTCAGTGTATTTATGAGTATGATCATGTGTGATTATGCATATTTCTGTGTGTTTGCATGCTGTGTGAATGTTAGTTGTATACGTGGTTATAGTAGCTCAAAATTCTGGTGGTATTTGGCTCTAGACTAATATTTAAGCCTAAAAAACTCCAGTTCTTTTAGGCATACTGTGCAAAGTTGTTCTCTGATGTCTTCTATCTGGAGTAGAGTTTCTAACGCACCTCTACCCGGAAGTTTGTCAGAATTCTAGTTTCCCTTTTTATTTAAGAGATTGAATTTTCCTCAAAATTCATTCTTTTGAAGGATCCATAAAGCAATCTGTAATGTTATCTAAGCACTAGAGAAGGAAAAGACAAAATGTGTAACCTATTTGGTAAGGCATCTGCTTTAACTAGAGAATTTTGAAATTAGGCAAGGAGGCAAAAGAGAATGGATGATGATGAATATTGAAAATCAAGAGCGTGAATTAACATGACTTTGGTTAAAGGGACATAGCAATAAGGATTCCTTCTGGATTTCTAAATAAATGAACCACAAAATGATAACTGACTAAATAATTGATAATTGGCATTATTGTGCAAACATCATTCAAGTTTCTCAAAATAGCAGAGAGGCTGCTGCAGTTTTAGAAGTAAATCTGGCAGAATAAACATGGGTTGGGTGGGGAAGCTCATGACTGCACTCCCAGCATTTGCAAGGCCAAGACAGGAGGATTGGTGAGGCCAAGAGTTCAAAACCAGCCTGGCAACATAGCAAGACTTCATGTCTACAAAAATAGAAAGTTAACTAGGTATGGTGGCTTGTGGTCGTAGTCTCAGCTACTCAGGAGGCTGAGGCAGGTGGATTGCTTGAGCCAGAATGTCAAGGATGCAGTGAGCTATGATATTGCCACTTCACTCCCACCTGGGTAACAGAGAGAGACCCTGTCACTCAAAAAAAAAAAAAGTATAAATATGGAAAGATAATAGATCATCCTATAAAGATAATACTAATTTTTCAAATATAAATCTAAATGTATGCATTTATACTGACTTTCTATGCATATGTATTCAATATAACATCTGATTTTGATTATATCTGAATTAGTGTCAGGCAGTAAAACATTATTCTATTGAAGTTGTAATAGAGATATCTTTCTTATAAATTTACATATTTCTCAGAAAAATATCTGGTAACAAATGTTGGTATCATCAAATGTAAAACTCTAGGTAAAAATTAAGATTTCTCTTTCAAAATAGGTAAGAAGTCAGATCAAAGAAGGCTGAGTACAATAAAACATTTTGAGAGAGAAAGATAGAGACCATATTGACATAATTTGTATTATAGTATACTGTATATTCATTCTATTTTATTATAAGTTACTCTTGTTTATCTCTTACTTGTCTTATTTAAAAATTAAACTTTATCAGAAGTATGTGTGGACAGAAAATAATAGTGTATATAGGGCTCAGTGTCAACTCCAGTCTCAAGAATTTACTGAGGGGCTTCAAATGCATTCCCTGCAGATAAAGACGAATTTCTGTGCTTAACTTACCCTTGTGTCTCCCTTCAGGAAAGAGCACACGAATGCCCCATGGAAAATTACAATCAAACATCAACTGATTTCATCTTATTAGGATTCTTCCCACCATCAAGAATTGGCCTTTTCCTCTTCATCCTCATTGTTTTCATTTTCCTAATGGCTCTAATTGGAAACCTATCCATGATTCTTCTCATCTTCTTGGACACCCATCTCCACACACCCATGTATTTCCTACTTAGTCAGCTCTCCCTCATTGACCTAAATTACATCTCCACCATTGTTCCTAAGATGGCATCTGATTTTCTGTCTGGTAACAAGTCTATCTCCTTCACTGGGTGTGGGATTCAGAGTTTCTTCTTCTCGGCATTAGGAGGTGCAGAAGCACTACTTTTGGCATCTATGGCCTATGATCGTTACATTGCTATTTGCTTTCCTCTTCACTATCCCATCCGCATGAGCAAAAGAATGTGTGTGCTGATGATAACAGGGTCTTGGATCATAGGCTCGATCAATGCTTGTGCTCACACTGTATATGTACTCCATATTCCTTATTGCCAATCCAGGGCCATCAATCATTTCTTCTGTGATGTCCCAGCAATGGTGACTCTGGCCTGCATGGACACCTGGGTCTATGAGGGCACAGTGTTTTTGAGCACCACCATCTTTCTCGTGTTTCCCTTCATTGCTATTTCATGTTCCTATGGCCGGGTTCTCCTTGCTGTCTACCACATGAAATCTGCAGAAGGGAGGAAGAAAGCCTACCTGACCTGCAGCACCCACCTCACTGTAGTAACTTTCTACTATGCACCTTTTGTCTACACTTATCTACGTCCAAGATCCCTGCGATCTCCAACAGAGGACAAGGTTCTGGCTGTCTTCTACACCACCCTCACTCCAATGCTCAACCCCATCATCTATAGCCTGAGGAACAAGGAGGTGATGGGGGCCCTGACACGAGTGAGTCAGAGAATCTGCTCTGGGAAAATGTAGAAACATTTTCTACCTAAGGTCTCAGGACTCAGATACACATCCATCCAGCAGTGTATAGTAATTAAAATATTATTTCAATCCTAGAGTTCAGGAGCTAAAAGTAATCAAGGTAAGAGAAAAAAATCACTGATTTCTGGACAAAATTGTTTTACATATATATGTATATATAACTCCAAACAACCTTTTTTCTTCATGGCATTGTTTCCATAAATTTTGAAAGCACCTACTTTTACTAATATGTTGTCAATGAGAATTTTTGTTTTTGGTCATGCAGAAATAGAAATGAAATTGGTCTAACTGAAGTTGGCACTCAGCATAACAATTTCCTTATGGTCAGTTTATTTTCCAGTAATTTTAAATTTACTTTTTTGTTTATGTCTAAAACAAAACAAAAAATAAGTCTCTTGACTTGGTGTATCTAGTTGAAAGCTGTAAGATGTTTTGTCTTTCTTATCTTAGACACTTAACGTACCAATTACTCATTCTTTCAATTTAGGGAACTCATTACACAGTTTAGCAGAGAGCTCATCAGGGATTCTTAAGTCCTGATACCACTCTGGATGGCCTATGACAAGATTATGTTCTTTATAGGGGAATGAATCCCAGGAAATGATTTAACATTAGGTATATTTTAGATCAACAAAAGGACTGGAACATGCCAGCAGTAATAAAAATGATTACATTTAGGTCTTTAACCTGTTTTGAGTTGATTTGGATATAGTGTAATGACTGGGAGTTTATTTTCATTTTTCTGCTTAAAAATATCCAGTTTTGCCAGCACCTTATATTGAAGACACTGTCTTTTTCCCAATGAACAGTCTTGGGTCTGTTGTCAAAAATCAGTTGCACAGAAAGGTTTTGCTTGTTCTCACTCCTATGCGAGAGCTAGAATTTTTAAAAACTGAACTAGTGGAAATAGAGAAGAGACTGATGGTCACCAGAGGGTGGGAAGGGTACAGGGGAGGGACGATAAAGTGGGGATGGCTAATAGTTGCAAAAATATAATTAGATAGAATGAATAAGAGTATTTGATAGCACAATAGAGTAACTATAGTAAACAATAATTTATTGTAGAATTTATTGTATGTATTAAAGAATAACTGAAAGAGTGGAATTGGAATGTTCCCAACACAAAGAAATAACCATATTTGAGGTGATGGTTACCCCGATTAACCCGATTTGATCATTATGCATTGTATGCCTTTATCAAAGCATCACATACACTCCGCAATTATATATTACTATTATGTATCCATAGTAATTAAAATAAAAGAACCAGTTCACTGTAGATATATGGATTTATTTCTGGGTTCTCTGTTCTGTTTCACTGTTCTATGTGTCTGTTTTTATGCCAGTACCATTCTGTTTTGGTTATTCCATGTTTGTAGTATAGTTTGAAGTTTGGTACTCATGCCTCCAGTTTTTTCTTTTTATTCTACAGTGCTTTGACTATTTGGGTTCTTTAATAGTTCCATACAAATCTTAAATAATGGTTTTTACTATTTATGTGCAGAATGTCATTGGTATTTTGATAGACATTGCATTGAATCTGTAGTTTGGTTATTTAAATAATATTAATTCTTCCAATCCATGAGCATTGGATTTCTTTCCATTCATTTGTATTCCTCTTCATTTTCTTTCACCAGTGATTTGTACAAATACATTCTAGTGTTCTCTTCCATGACTACCGTTAACGGTAAAGTATTACATAGTGCAATGCTCTTTAAATGTCATTTCTATTTCTAAGCCTGTGGATATTTGTTTTACCATATTGTAGCAGTTAAAACATAAATTTTGAACTTGTTTTATAAATCAGACTATGTCTTTGTTGTGCTTTTTTGCAATGAGCAGTGTGTATTTTTATTTTGTAATGATTTACTAACAAAGTTTACTGCCTTAGCTTCCTGGCATTTCCTGTCCTGATATTCACTCAGCTAGGTCATATTCCATGAATACAACAGGGAGGGGCTTTGGGACAGAGAGAAAATAGGCCTTCCATCACGAGTCACTTGCTGCTGCCAGGGAGAGCACCTCCTCTCTTCCCAGGTAGGGACATTTGTACCCAACTGCCACCTGTGCCACTGCTTCTGTCATCACCACCAATCTGAGCCCAGCCACACCCAAGCCACTCCTTGGAATCCTGTGGTGCTGTGAAGTATTACAAGATGTGTGCGTGTGTGTGTGTGTGTGTGTGTGTGTGCATGCCTGAGAAGGCCAGGCAAATTGCCCCACGTGGGTGTTGCCTTAGCCCCCTTGTGTAGTCATTTCTACTGGACCAAAACTGCTTGCTAATGCTGCCAACCTGTCCAGCTCTTCTGTCACATGCTTACTCAGAGATGAAATTATTAAATATTCCAATGATAACAGCGGAGCATGAAACCATGCATGGAGCCCTTTGAGTGTAGGACCTTGTGCATAGGTCCACGAAGCCAGTCCTGAGAAGGATGGGAAGAGTGAGCAGGAAGTGAATGAGATCATGCAGTCTAGGATAGTGGTGGGATTGTGAGATGGTCTGGGTGTTGCTATCCTCCCAAAATCCATATGCTTAAATCTTAACCCTCAATGTCATAGTATTAGGAGTTGGGGCCTTTTGGGAAATGATTAGGTCATGAGGATAGCACCCTCTTGAATAAGATTAATGCCTTTCTAAAGGAGGCTCAGGGGAGCTTGTTTGTCCCTTCTACCATGTGAGGTTACAACAGATGGTGCCATCTAGGGTGTCGTAGAAGCCATCGTCTATGAACCAGAAAGCAAGCCTTCTCAGGACACTGAATCTTCAGTCACTTTGTCTTAAGACAAAGAACTTCCCAGCTTCCACAACTCTGAGAAATACATTTCTCTTGTTTATAGGTTACCCAGTTTAAGACATTTTTGTCATAGAAGCTTGAATAGACCAAGACACAATACCTGCTGTTTTTGTTAGTTGTTATTACTGGAAAAAGCCTGAGGGAAGACTGAATTAAGCAGTGGTGCCCAGTTCAGACCCTTTACCCATTCCAGGTAGTGATTCATGGAGGGAATCAGGAGACCTAGCTGTATGATTTTCTGTGACATACCACGGCTTTGGGGAAATCATTCCATCTCTCTGAAGTTAGTTTACTGAAAAACAATATGGATGCCTTTATCTTATTGGTAAATGGCATCATTGAAGTCCCACCTACTGACATTCCTGTATAGGCAATGGTAATCCTATTTTTCATGCCAGTGTCTCTGTGAATGGAGATAAAGAGGTCACCAATGAATGCTGAGCATTTCAAGGCTATCAGAAATGACTTCAAAATTCGTTTACCCCTGTAGGTTCTGGCTCAGGAAAGCAATAAGCTCGTCCCCACTGACATAGTATCTGTACTCAGAGGCCACTCCTTTCCCCTTGTGGTCATTAAGAAGAACAACGGAGAAAGAAGTCAAATTATCCAAATATACTGTCATTTGCTACATTGTTTATGAGAATGTAGTCCTGATAATTTTGAAAGTTGGACAATAATTCCTCTTGGGGAAATTAATGAATTCATTACCTCACAGAGTCCTTGGCTCACTGTTCATTGTGCCTCGTTTTAGCCATTTTTCTTTCCATCCAAATGTTACGCTGTGGTTATTTTTCACTTCACAGTCATTCTTTAATTCTTTCATGTCCTCAGGCTAGAAGATGCAAATTTTACAGCATGTGGTATCTATTAGCATTTCATACCACACAGTGTGCATTTAGAAATTTCTTAAGTATTAAATTAGCAAAGTTTGATTTATGGAAAGGGACATGAGTATTCATTCTATTTTGAAGGATGAGTATCTTTCTTTTTTTTTTGCATTTATTTATTTATTTATTATTATTATACTGTAAGTTTTAGGGTACATGTGCACAATGTGCAGGTTAGTTACATATGTATACATGTGCCATGCTGGTGCGCTGCACCCACTAACTCGTCATCTAGCATTAGGTATATCTCCTAATGCTATCCCTCCCCCCTCCCCCCACCCCACCACAGTCCCCGATGTGTGATGTTCCCCTTCCTGTGTCCATGTGTTCTCATTGTTCAGTTCCCACCTATGAGTGAGAACATGCGGTGTTTGGTTTTTTGTCCTTGCGATAGTTTACTGAGAATGATGATTTATCACAACAAGCTGTGGTTCAATAGTGACATAGTTGGGTAGAGTGAAGGAGTGAATTACATGCCATCCACAAATATGCTGAGTCAGCATGTTTATTAGTCTGAGCTGAAAACATGTGAGAAATTTTGGTTAACATTGGAGAAAAAGGTTATCTCACCTGTCTTTTCAGCATGCAGCAAGTTCTAAAGATTCTTCCAGGAATCTCTGGTACATTCTGATACTCTTCCAGTACCCTCTCTGTATCAGAATAGAAAATAGCCCTTCACCAGAGCCTGACAGCTGGAGGAATGCAGTCTGAATAATAAACTACCAGAATTAACCCTTATTTTTCACTATCTTTACACCCCCATATACCTCCTAGTAACTCCCTTGGAATGTATGGCTTTGAGCCAGTTTCTCTTTTTTCTGTAATTTTTTCTGCAACTTATCATTCTTTGTCTAAAATTATAAAAGCATCTTGCTTTGACCATTTATTTGGACTTCACACTCTTGTGAAGATTCCCATGTACATGTAAAATGAATAAAACTTATATGCTTTTCCCTCGTTAATCTGTCTTGTACCAATTTGTTTCCTAGACCTTGGCAAAAAAACTCACAGAGGATATAAAGTGGGTGAGGTAGAGGTGATCCCTCATGTTTCTGTAGAAGTAATAATTGTCTTCCTTTTGTAAGATTTACCTCAACCCCACTACTAACTTTTTTTTTACTTGCCTTTAAAATCTGGAGAAAAAATAGGCAATTATTTTACAGATGAAATATCTTATCAATCACTGAATACTTAGTACTTAGAGCATTTTAGGAGAATACAAAGATGAATACGTGGACCACACATGTTGGACTGAGGTCAATTTGACATTTGGGACTTAATCTCAGCTATTTTGTCTCACTGCCACCAAATTCAATCATATGATCCTTTTAATTTTATCTGCTAAATATTTTAAAATACATTTGTCTTCCTCAGTCCCTCTATTCACTGCCCTTACTTTTGATAGGGTTTTCCCTCTTTAAGGAAACTTAAAATTTCAGAAATTTTGTCTTTACCACAAGTAGTGTGTTATTTACCTTCAGTATCCTCTATGCATTCTATAATTGTAAGCTGTCTGGTGAAGCTAGCAGTGCCAATTAGATAGTTGCAAAGATATTTCCCTGGTGCTAAAACTTAACTAGTGAAGATAGCTACCAGGGATCAGATGCTAAATACTGATTCAATAGACTTTATTAAAAGTAAATGATCACAAGCATCTACAATTTGCAGGAAAAAGCATTAATTCCAGGAGAAGACGAAGGGCTTAATGTCAGGGAGCAGTCATTGGCTATGTGACACTGATTTAAAGTGCAAGAAGTAATTCAGCAGGGCTACTAATTTTATCACAAGTTAGAGTTAATTTCCTGATTAAACATCTCATAAGTTTTGAATGGTTTATCCCTATTTGCACTAGAAATTTTACCTTTTCAATGTGCAGTTTTACCAGCATAAAGTGTATTGAAAATCTCAGTATCATATTATAGCAGAACTGTCTACTTTTACATATTATCAACTGAAACACCTTTTCAGCCCCCTAATAAACTGATTTGTTAGAAACATAGTTATACTGTATCTTCACAGGTAGTTTTAATTGGCTTCCTCTGAATTGCTGAGTTTAATTGTTCCTAGATAGTTGCATGTTTTTTAAAAATCCAGGAAAAACTCCTAAGTATAATAAAAATATTTGGTGTAATTATTTGCTCATATTATTCTTTTTGTAGATTAATTTTCTTTAATAGCTAAATAATATGAGGGCTGGCAGCCAAGATGGCCAAATAGGAACAGCTCCAGTCTACAGCTCCCAGCGTGAGCGATGCAGAAGACGGGTGATTTCTGCATTTCCATCTGAGGTACCGGGTTCATCTCACTAGGGAGTGCCAGACAGTGGGCACAGGACAGTGGGTGCAGCGCACCGTGTGCGAGCCGAAGCAGGGCAAGGCATTGCCTCACTCAGGAAGCACAAGGGGTCAGGGAGTTCCCTTTCCTAGTCGAAGAAAGGGGTGACAGACGGCACCTGGAAAATCGGGCCACTCCCACCCGAATACTGCGCTTTTCCGACGGGCTTAAAAAACGGCGCGCCAGGAGGTTATATCCCACACCTGGCTCGGAGGGTCCCACGCCCACAGAGTCTCGCTGATTGCTAGCACAGCAGTCTGAGATCAAACTGCAAGGTGGCAGCGAGGCTGGGGGAGGGGCGCCCGCCATTGCCCAGGCTTGCTTAGGTAAACAAAGCAGGCGGGAAGCTCGAACTGGGTGGAGCCCACCACAGCTCAAGGAGGCCTGCTTGCCTCTGTAGGCTCCACCTCTGGGGGCAGGGCACAGACAAACAAAAAGACAGCAGTAACCTCTGAAGACTTAAATGTCCCTGTCTGACAGCTTTGAAGAGAGCAGTGGTTCTCCCAGCACGCAGCTGGAGATCTGAGAAAGGGCAGACTGCCTCCTCAAGTGGGTCCCTGACCCCTGACCCCTGAGCAGCCTAACTGGGAGGCACCCCCCAGTAGGGGCAGACTGACACCTCACACGGCCGGGTACTCCTCTGAGACAAAATTTCCAGAGGAATGATCAGACAGCAGTATTCGCGGTTCATGAAAATCCGCTGTTCTGCAGCCACTGCTGCTGGTACCCAGGCAAACAGGGTCTGGAGTGGACCTCTAGCAAACTGCAACAGACCTGCAGCTGAGGGTCCTGTCTGTTAGAAGGAAAACTAACAAACAGAAAGGACATCCACATCAAAAACCCATCTGTACATCACCATCATCAAAGACAAAGATGGGGAAAAAACAGAGCAGAAAAACTGGAAACTCTAAAAAGCAGAGCACCTCTCCTCCTCCAAAGGAACACAGTTCCTCACCAGCAACGGAACAAAGCTGGACGGAGACTGACTTTGACGAGAGAAGAAGCCTTCAGACGATCAAACTACTCCGAGCTACAGGAGGAAATTCAAACCAAGGGCAAAGAAGTTAAAAACTTTGAAAAAAATGTAGATGAAAGTATAACTAGAATAACCAATACAGAGTAGTCCTTAAAGGAGCTGATGGAGCTGAAAGCCAAGGCTCGAGAACTACATGAAGAATGCAGAAGCCTCAGGAGCCGATGCAATCAACTGGAAGAAAGGGTATCAGTGATGGAAGATGAAATGAATGAAATGAAGTGAGAAGGGAAGTTTAGAGAAAAAAGAATAAAAAGAAATGAACAAAGCCTCCAAGAAATATGGGACTATGTGAAAAGACCAAATCTACATCTGATTGGTGTACCTGAAAGTGACGGGGAGAATGGAACCAAGTTGCAAAACACTCAGCAGTATATTATCCAGGAGAACTTCCCCAATCTAGCAAGGCAGGCCAAAATTCAGATTCAGGAAATACAGAGAACGCCACAAAGATACTCCTCGAGAAGAGCAACTCCAAGACACATAATTGTCAGATTCACTAAAGTTGAAATGAAGGAAAAAATGTTAAGGGCAGCCAGAGAGAAAAGTCGGGTTACCCACAAAGGGAAGCCCATCAGCCTAACAGTGGATCTCTCAGCAGAAACTCTTCAAGCCAGAAGAGAGTGGGGGCCAATATTCAACATTCTTAAAGAAAAGAATTTTCCACCCAGAATTTCATATCCAGCCAAACTAAGCTTCATAAGTGAAGGAGAAATAAAATGCTTTACAGACAAGCAAATGCTGAGAGATTTTGTCACCACCAGGCCTGACCTAAAAGAGCTCCTGAAGGTAGCACTAAACATGGAAAGGAACAACCGGTACTAGCCACTGCAAAATCATGCCAAATTGTAAAGACCATCGATGCTAGGAAGAAACCGCATCAACTGTCGAGCAAAATAACCAGCTAACATCATAATGACAGGATCAGATTCACACATAACAATATTAACTTTAAATGTAAATGGACTAAATGCTCTAATTAAAAGACACAGACTGGCAAATTGGATAAAGAGTCAAGACCCATCAGTGTGCTGTATTCAGGAAACCTATCTCATGTGCAGAGACACACATAGGCTCAAAATAAAAGGGCGGAGGAAGATCTACCAGGGAAATGGAAAACAAAAAAAGGCAGGGGTTGCAATCCTAGTCTCTGATAAAACAGACTTTAAACCAACAAAGATCAAAAGAGACAAAGAAGGCCATCACATAATGGTAAAGGGATCAATTCAACTAGAAGAGCTAACTATCCTAAATATATATGCACCCAATACAGGAGCACCCAGATTCATAAAGCAAGTCCTGAGTGACCTACAAAGAGACTTAGACTCCCACACAATAATAATGGGAGACTTTAACACCCCACTGTCAACATTAGACAGATCAATGAGACAGAAAGTTAACAAGGATACCCAGGAATCGAACTCAGCTCTGGACCAAGCAGACCTAATAGACATCTACAGAACTCTCCACCCCAAATCAACAGAATATACATTTTTTTCAGCACCACAACACGCCTATTCCAAAATTGACCACATAGTTGGAAGTAAAGCACTCCTCAGCAAATGTAAAAGAACAGAAATTATAACAAACTGTCTCTCAGACCACAGTGCAATCAAACTAGAACTCAGGATTAAGAAACTCACTCAAAACCACTCAACTACATGGAAACTGAACAACCTGCTCCTGAATGACTACTGGGTACATAACGAAATGAAGGCAGAAATAAAGATGTTCTTTGAAAACAACAAGAACAAAGACACAACATACCAGAATCTCTGGGACACATTCAAAGCAGTATGTAGAGGGAAATTAATAGCACTAAATGCCCACAAGAGAAAGCAGGAAAGACCTAAAATTGACACCCTAACATCACAATTAAAAAAACTAGAGAAGCAAGAGCAAACAGATTCAAACGCTAGCAGAAGGCAAGAAATAACTAAAATCAGAGCAGAACTGAAGGAAATAGAGACACAAAAAACCCTTCAAAAAATTAATGAATCCAGGAGCTGGTTTTTTGAAAGGATCAACAAAATTGATAGACCACTAGCAAGACTAATAAAGAAGAAAAGAGAGAAGAATCAAATAGACGCAATAAAAAATGATAAAGTGGATATCACCACTGATCCCACAGAAATACAAACTATCATCAGAGAATACTGCAAACACCTCCACGCAAATAGACTAGAAAATCTAGAAGAAATGGATAAATTCCTCGACACATACACCCTCCCAAGACTAAACCAGGGAGAAGTTGAATCTCTGAATAGACTGATAACAGGCTCTGAAATTGTGGCAATAATCAATAGCTTACCAACCAAAAAGAGTCCAGGACCAGATGGATTCACAGCCGAATTCTACCAGAGGTACAAGGAGGAACTGGTACCATTCCTTCTGAAACTATTCCAATCAATAGAAAAAGAGGGAATCCTCCCTAACTCATTTTATGAGGCCAACATCATCCTGATACCAAAGCCAGGCAGAGACACAACCGAAAAAGAGAATTTTAGACCAATATCCCTGATGAACATTGATGCAAAAATCCTCAATAAAATACTGGCAAACCGAATCCAGCAGCACATCAAAAAGCTTATCCACCATGATCAAGTGGGCTTCATCCCTGGGATGCAAGGCTGCTTCAATATATGCAAATCAATAAATGTAATCCAGCATATAAACAGAACCAAAGACAAAAACCACATGATTATCTCAATAGATGCAGAAAAGGCCTTTGACAAAATTCAACAACTCTTCATGCTAAAAACTCTCAATAAATTAGGTATTGATGGGACATATCTCAAAATAATAAGAGCTGTCTATGACAAACCCACAGCCAATATCATACTGAATGGGCAAAAACTGGAAGCATTCCCTTTGAAAACTGGCACAAGACAGGGATTCCCTCTCTCACCACTCCTATTCAACATAGTGTTGGAAGTTCTGGCCAGGGCAATTAGGCAGGACAAGGAAATAAAGGGTATTCAATTAGGAAAAGAGGAAGTCAAATTGTCCCTGTTTGCAGACGAGATGATTGTATATCTAGAAAACCCCATTGTCTCAGCCCAAAATCTCCTTAAGCTGATAAGCAACTTCAGCAAAGTCTCAGGATACAAAATCAATGTACAAAAATCACAAGCATTCTTATACACCAATAACAGACAAACAGAGAGCCAAATCATGAGTGAACTCCCATTCACAATTGCTTCAAAGAGAATAAAATACCTAGGAATCCAGCTTACAAGGGATGTGAAGGACCTCTTCAAGGAGAACTACAAACCACTGCTCAATGAAATAAAAGAGGATACAAAGAAATGGAAGAACATTCCATGCTCATGGGTAGGAAGAATCAATATCGTGAAAATGGCCATACTGCCCAAGGTAATTTACAGATTCAATGCCATCCCCATCAAGCTACCAATGACTTTCTTCACAGAATTGGAAAAAACTACTTTAAAGTTCATATGGAACCAGAAAAGAGCCCACATTGCCAACTCAATCCTAAGCCAAAAGAACAAAGCTAGAGGCATCACGCTACCTGACTTCAAACTATACTACAAGGCTACAGTAACCAAAACAGCATGGTACTGGTACCAAAACAGAAATATAGATCAATGGAACAGAACAGAGTCCTCAGAAATAACGCTGCATATCTATGGCTATCTGATCTTTGACAAACCTGAGAAAAACAAGCAATGGGGAAAGGATTCCCTATTTAATAAATGGTGCTGGGAAAACCCATAGCCATATGTAGAAAGCTGAAACTGGATCCCTTCCTTACACCTTATACAAAAATTAATTCAAGATGGATTAAAGACTTAAACGTTAGACCTAAAACCATAAAAACCCTAGAAGAAAACCTAGGCATTACCATTCAGGACATAGGCATGGGCAAGGACTTCATGTCTAAAACACCAAAAGCAATGGCAGCAAAAGCCAAAATTGACAAATGGGATCTAATTAAACTAAAGAGCTTCTGCACAGCAAAAGAAACTACCATCAGAGTGAACAGGCAACCTACAAAATGGGATAAAATTTTTGCAACCTACACATCTGACAAAGGGCTAATATCCAGAACCTACAAGACCTCAAACAAATTTACAAGAAAAAAAAAACAACCCCATCAAAAAGTGGGCAAAGCACATGAACAGACATTTCTCAAAAGAAGACGTTTATGCAGCTAAAAAACACATGAAAAAATGCTCACCATCACTGGCCATCAGGGAAATGCAAATCAAAACCACAATGAGATAGCATCTCACACCAGTTAGAATGGCAATCATTAAAAAGTCAGGAAACGACAGGTGCTGGAGAGGATGTGGAGAAATAGGAACACTTTTACACTGTTGGTGGGACTGTAAACTAGTTCAACCATTGTGGAAGTCAGTGTGGCGATTCCTCAGGGATCCAGAACTAGAAATACCATTTGACCCAGCAATCCCATTACTGGGTATATACCCAAAGGACTATAAATCATGCTGCTATAAAGACACATGCACACGTATGTTTATTGTGTCACTATTCACAATAGCAAAGACTTGCAACCAACCCAAATGTCCAACAATGATAGACTGGATTAAGAAAATGTGGCACATATACACCATGGAATACTATGCAGCCATAAAAAATGATGAGTTTATGCCCTTTGTAGGGACATGGATGAAATTGGAAATCATCTTTCTCAGTAAGCTATCGCAAGGACAAAAAACCAAATACCACATGTTCTCACTCAAAGGTGGGAATTGAACATTAAGAATACATGGACATAGGAAGGGGAACATCACACTCTGAGGACTGTTGTGGGGTGGGGGGAGCGGGGAGGGATAGCATTAGGAGATATACCTAATGCTAAATTATGAGTTAATGGGTGCAGCACACCAGCATGGCACATTTATACATATGTAACTAACCTGCACATTGTGCACACATACCCTAAAACTTAAAGTGTAATAATAATAAAATAAAAAAGAATTAAAAAAATAAAAAATAAAAATAAAAAAAAGAAGCATGGATGTTAGCTTGCTAGTGGGTACAAATCAGGTAGATGATCTTTCATTAATGAAAGAGTGCATGGTTAAAAAAATAAATATTATAGAAAAGTTAATATGTAGATAAATAACATGTTTTGACTAAAACATTATACACTTAAAAACCACAAATCTCTCTCCATTGACACATGGACTAATATAAATATTAACTCTATAAAGCTCTAAAAAAGTAAGATGGCATCTTTTAACTTTTGAAGTATATAATTTTTTTGTAGATACAACTCATAAGAAAAGCCCACTAATTGTATAAAACGGAATTATATATCGGACTTAAAAAAATTAAATCTCTGTTCTGTGAAATATACCATTAAAATAATAATCAGGCTAGCCAAAAAGCAAGAAAAATATTTACAGTACACATGTTTGACAAAATACTTTTCTCCAGAATAAATAAAAAATTTAAAACTGAATAAAATAAATTAAAAACATTTTGGCCACAGATATAAAGATACTTTTCTTAAAATAACATATATCAATGACCAGTAAGCATCTTAGAAGGTGCTGAACTTGATTATTCTCTAGGTAATGGCATATTTTAAAATGACGTGAAGATACCACCACTAGAAGGGTTAAAATTAAAAATATTGAAATGCCAAATGCTAGTGATGATGGAGAGTAATACGAGCTCTCAAACATTGCTGGTGGAGAGGTAAAATGTGTTAAAAAAAAAAAAAGTCAAATTATCTTTCTTCATTGACGATATGATTCTATACCTAGAAAACCCCAAAGACACAGCCAAAAGGCTTCTAGAACTGATAAACAACTTCAGCAAAGTTTCAGAATACAAAATAAACATACAAAAATCAATAGCATTTCTATACACCAACAACGTTCAAGCTGAGAGCAGGAACAGAACACTAAATAGTGAATGTCTCACTTAAAAGTGCAAGCATGGACACATGCTTGGTACAGAAGGACACATGCATGGTAACAAAAGACACTGAAGACTACTAAAGAGGTTAAGGAGAGGGAGATGTGGGGAGAAAAATTACCTATTGGGTGGTATGCTCACTACCTGGATGACAGAATTTGTACCCCAAAGCTCAGCATTATGCAATATACCATTTAACAAAACTGCACACGTACCCCTTGAATCTAAAATACAAGTTGAAGTTAAAAATAAAAATCTTAGAAGACATAGACGAAAATCTTCTTTTTTTATGGTTACACTTTAAGTTTAGGGTATATGTGCACAATGTGCAGGTTTGATACATAGGTATACATGTGCCATGTTGGTTTGCTGCACCCATCAACTCATCATTTACATTAGGTATTTCTCCTAATGCTGTCCCTCCCCCAGACCCCCAGCCCCTGAGATTCCCCAGTGTGTGATGTTCCCCACCCTGTGTCCAAGTGATCTCATCGTTCAATTCCCACCTATGAGTGAGAACATGCAGTATTTGGTTTTCTGTCCTTGTGATAGTTTGCTGAGAATGATGGTTTCCAGCTTCATCCATGTCCCTGCAAAGGACATGAACTCATTCTTTTTTATGGCTGCATAGTATTCCATGGTGTATATGTGCCACATTTTCTTAATGCAGTCTATCACTGATGGACATTTTGGTTGTGAATAGTGCCACAATAAACATATGTGTGCATGTGTCTTTATAGTAGCATGATTTATAATCCTTTGGGTATATACCCAGTAATGGGATTGCTGGGTCAAATGGTTATTCTAGTTCTAGGTCCTTGAGGAATCACCACACTGTCTTCCACAATGGTTGAACTAATTTACACTCCCACCAACAATGTAAAAGCGTTCCTATTTCTCCACATCCTCTCCAGCATCTGTTGTTTCCTGACTTTTTAATGATTGCCATTCTAACTGGCGTGAGATGGTATCTCATTGTGGTTTTGATTTGCATTTCTCTGATGACCAGTGATGATGAGCATTTTTTCATTTGTCTTTTGGCTGCATAGATGTCTTCTTTTGAGAAGTGTCTGTTCATATCCTTTGCCCAATTTTTGATGAGGTTGTTTGTTTTTCTCTTGTAAATTTGTTTGAGTTCTTTGTATATTCTGGATATTAGCCCTTTGTCAGATGGGTAGATTGCAAAAATTTTCTCCCATTCTGTAGGTTACCTGTTCACTTTGATGGTGGTTTATTTTGCCATGCAGAATCTCTTTAATTAGATCCCATTTGTCAATTTTGGCTTTTGTTGCCATTGCTTTTGGTGTTTTAGTCATGACGCCCTTGCCCTTGCCTATGTCCTGAATGGTATTGCCTAGGTTTTCTTCTAGGGTTTTTATGGTTTTAGGTCTAACATTTAAGTCTTTAATCCATCTTGAATTAATTTTTATATAAGATCTAAGGGAGGGATCCAGTTTCAGCTTTCTACAGATGGCTAGCCAGTTTCCCAGCACCATTTTTAAATAGGGAATCCTTTCCCCATTTCTTGTTTTTCTCAGATTTGTCAAAGATCAGATGGTTGTAGATGTATGGCATTATTTCTGAGACCTCTATTCTGTTCCATTGGTCTATAATTCTGTTTTGGTACCAGTACCGTGCTGCTTTGGTTACTGTAGCTTTGTAGTATAATTTGAAGTCAGGTAGCGTGATGCCTCCAGCTTTGTTCTTTTTGCTTAGGATTGTCTTGGCAATGTGGGCTCTTTTTGGTTCCATATGAACTTTAAAGTAGTTTTTTACAGTTCTGTGAAGGAAGTCATTGGTAGCTTGATGGGGATGGCATTGAATGTATAAATTACATTGGGCAGTATGGCCATTTTCATGGTATTGATTCTTCCTATCCATGAGCATGGAATATTCTTCCACTCGTTTTTGTCCTCTTTTATTTCATTGAGCAGTGGTTTGTAGTTCTCCTTGAAAAGGTCCTTCATATCCCTTGTAAGTTGGATTCCTAGATATTTTATTCTCTTTGTAGCAGTTGTGAATGGGAGTTCACTCATGATTTGGCTCTCTGTCTGTTAATGATGTATAGGAATCCTTGTGATTTTTGCACATTGATTTTGTATCCTGAGACTTTGCTGAAGTTGCTTATCAGCTTAAGGAGTTTTTGGGCTGAGATGATGGGGTTTACTAAATATACATTCATGTTATCTGCAAACAGGGACAATTTGACATCCTCATTTCCTAATTGCATACCCTTTATTTCTTTCTCTTGCCTAATTGCCCTGGCCAGAATTTCCAACACTATGTTGAATAGGAGTGGTGAGAGAGGGCATCCTTGTCTTGTGCCAGTTTTCAAAGGGAATGCTTTCAATTTTGCCCATTCAATATGATATTGGCTGTGGGTTTGTCATAAATTGCTCTGATTATTTTGAGATACGTCCCATCAATACCTAGTTTATTGAGAGTGTTTAGCATGAAGCACTGTTGAATTTTGTCAAAGGCCTTTTCTGCATCTATTGAGATAATCATGTGGTTTTTGTCATTGATTCTGTTCATGTGATAAATTACATTTATTGATTTGTGTATATTGAACCAGCCTTGCATCCCAGGGATGAAGCCCACTTGATCATGGTGGATAAGCTTTTTGATGTGCTGCTGGATTCGGTTTGCCAGTATTTTACTGAGGATTTTCGTATTGATGTTCATCAGGGATATTGGTCTAAAATTCTCTTTTTTTGTTGTGTCTCTGCCAGGCTTTGGTATCAGGATGATGTTGGCCTCATAAAATGAGTTAGGGAGGATTCCCTCTTTTTCTATTGATTGGAACAGTTTCAGAAGGAATGGTACCAGCTCCTCTTTGTACCTCTGGTAGAATTCGGCTGTGAATCTGTCTGGTCCTGGACTTTTTTTGGTGTAGGCTATTAATTATTGCCTCAATTTCAGAGCCTGTTATTTGTCTATTCAGAAATTCACCTTCTTTTCTGGTTTAGTCTTGGTAGAGTCTATGTGTCCAGGAATTTATCCATTTGACATAGAAGAAAATCTTTATGACTTGGGGTTAGGGAAATAATTCTTGGGCATGACAGCAAAGACATGACCCATGAAGAAAAACTGTGTAAGTACGACTTCATGAAAATTAAAAACTTCTGTTAAAGGGAGATTAGAAGAAAATATTTGCCAATCACAGCTCTGTCAAAGGACTTGTGTAGAGAATATGCAGGTAACTATATATTTATTAGTACATAAAAACTAAATCCAATCAGACTATGAGCAAAAGAGTTAAACAGACAACTCACAAATGAAATATATGTCAATATATGAAAATCACAAATGTGACAAAGGCCTATTCTCTAGAATGTATAAAAAAACACAAAAAGTCAACAGTGAAAATAAATGATAAAAGACATTAAGAGGCATCTTATCAAATAGGATAAACACCTAAATAAGCAAAACAAACAAAAATACTAAAATGATTTCCAATATATTTTTATAATTAAAATTAAATCTGTGATAAAATAAACTACATACGTATCAGAATAAAATTATTGGTAGTGCCAAGTGCTAAATAAGATGCAATGCAATTGGGTATTTCAAAAATTGCTAGTAGGAATAAAAAATGGTACAGCTGGCTGGGCGCGGTGCCTCACACCTGTAATCCCAGCATTTTGGGAGGCTGAGGCGGGTGGATCACGAGGTCAGGAGATCGAAATCATCCTCGGCAATATGATGAAACCCCGTGTCTACCAAAAATACAAAAATTAGCTGGGCGTGGTGACGTAGTCCCAGCTACTCGGGAGGCTGAGGCAGGAGAATCACTTGAAACCAGGAGGCGGAAGTTGCAGTGAACTGAGATCGCGCCATTGTATTCCAGCCTGGCAACAGAGCGAGACTCCATCACACACACACACACATACACACACACACACAAACTAAGTACAGCTGTTTTGGAAAAAAAAGGGGCAGTATTTTATGCAGTTAAATATATATTTATTATACCACACCAGGATGGCAGTGATTCGTTTTACAACCGAATGTTCCTGGATCGTTATCCTAGAGAAATAAAAACTTACAGTCATTCAAAAACCTGTACATGAAGGTCCATAGCTATGGACCTTCACTTGTAATAGCAAAATCTGTAAACAACACAAATGTTCTTCAATACAAATGCATAAACAAACTTTGGTACAATTAGACACTAGAATGCTATTCAGAAAATAAAAAGAACAAATTATTGACACATATGATAACTTGGATAGGGCTCAAGGGCATTGTACTTTGTAAAAAAAAGAAAAGTTAATCTCTGAAGTTTACATAATGTATGTTTTATATCTATATCTGTATCTATGCGATGAAATTATAGTGATATAGCACAGATCATTGGTCTCCAGACGTTAGGAGGTTTGGGGAGAAGATGTGACTGACTATTGAGGAATAACAAGAGGAAGTTTCTCTGTGGTAATAAAACAGTTCTGTATCCTGATTGGGGCGAAGGTTACATAAATCTACACATGTGATAAAAATTTCATTGAATTTTACAAACACACACACACAATACATATAACAACTGGTGAAATTTGAATGAGTTAATAGTATTCTACCAAAATGAATTTCCTGGGTTTGATAATGTACTATGGTTATATAACATAGTAACACTGGGACAAGCTGGGTGAAGGGTATACAGAAATTTTCTGTACTTTTTTTAATGTCCTAAAATTCAACACACAAATAACGGCAACAAAAATTCAATGCAAAAATTGTAATAATAAAGCAAAAAAGTTATCTTTAAGTTATGATTTTTCCCTAAATTGAGCTAAATACTTACTGCAATCTGAATTTAAAAATTTCAGCATTTTTTGTGTGTGAAATTGAAAGCAGAGTCTAAAATTTCTACAGGAATGAAAAGAATCAAAAACAGGAAAACTTGAAAACAAAAAGAAAGAAAAAGAACAAGACAGGATGATTATTCTACCTAATATCAAAACGTTTTATAAGGCTACAGAAATTAATATAATGTGGTATCTGTTCGGTAATAGAAATATAGACAAAGGGTAAAACATAGCCAGTCTATTAATTGCCCCACATAGATACATAATTAATAACAATACCTAATCTGTCACTGAGGCCTTTTCAATAAATGATGCTGGGTCAGTTTGTAATGATCCTACAACATATATGCAAAAACTAATTGGAAAAGAATTACAATGTTAGCATAGTAGACTATCTTTATGACTTGGATTAGGCCAAGATTTCTTAAAGAAGACCAAAAGAAAAACCACAAAATAAAAGATTGATGAATTTATCTTCATGCAACTAAAACTTTCTGCTCATGAAACAGCTCCACTATGAATAAAGATGCAAGCCACACATTGGAAGATATTGGGTAAAATATTGATATCCAACATGCACAAGGAATTCTTAACAAATCAGCAAGAAGAGTCAGCTCTCCCTCCCCACCAATATGTTAGAATAATGATTTCCTTTGTGAAGGTATCGACTTGGAAGAGACAAAAGGAAGACATAAAGGGAACTAGATGATCTTTGTTGTAGTTACAGATACATATTTTTTTTTACATCTGTAAAAAAAATTATCAAGCTGTACAATTAAGATTTGCATTAACTGTATTAAATAAATCTGTATTAATGTAAATAAATTGCACTTTGAAGATGAATGAATTCTTTTTTTCATTGCATTAGGTATTTATTTTAATTTATTAGAATTATACTTTAAGTTCTGGGGTACATGAGCAGAACATGAGCGGGTTTGTTGCATAGGAATACACGTGACATGGTGGTTTGCTGCACCCATCAACTCATCATCTACATTAGGTATTTCTCCTAATGCTATCCCTCCCCTAAACCTCCACCTCAAAGAGGCCCCGGTGTGTGATGTTCCCCTCCATGTGTCCATGTGTCCTCATTCTTCAACTTCCACTTATGAATGAGAACATGCAGTGTTTGGTTTTCTGTTCCTGTGTTAGTTTCCTGAGAATGATGGTTTCCAGCTTCATCCATGTCCCTGCAAAGGACGTAAACTCATCCTTTCTAATGGCTGTATAGTCTTTGTGGTGTATATGGGGCACATTTTCTTTAGCCAGTCTATCACTGATGGGCATTTGTGTTGGATTCAAGTCTTTGCTATTGGGAATAGCTGCAATAAACATACGTGTGCATGTGTCTTTATAGTAGAATGGTTTCTAATCCTTTGTGTATATACCCAGGAATGGGATTGCTGGGTCAAATAGTATTTCTGGTCCTAGATCCTTGAGGAATCACCACACTGTCTTCACACTGGTTGAACTACTTTACACTCCCAACAACAGTGTTTGTTTCTGGGTGCTAGAACTTCGTATATTCAAAGTAACTCCTCATTCGAAATTTTGTTTCTACCATTCATGGGCTTGTATAATCTGTCTCTATCAGGTACTCCTTCTTTAACTTAGAGATTCATGAGAACCATATCAGCTCATTTTTAAACACACAATGGGAAATCACTAAAAGCTTCCAGGGACAATGTATCTTCAATATAAGTGTCTGAAAGCTAACCCACCATTTTGAAGATTTTGAAGATTTTGAAGATTTTCTATGCAAACCTTTATTAAGAAATTAAGAGTAGAAACATCTGCAAATTGAAAATGCAATAAGAAATGAACATATTTCTAAAATTATTTAAAATTTTTATTTTATATTTAATTTCATTGTGGTCAGATAACAAGTCTGAAATACCACTTCTTTGAAACATATTTCTATTTTTATAGGTATTTTGTGCATTTTTATTAATGTCTTACATTTGCTTGGAGATAAAGTTCATTCCGTTTTTGTTGTTGTCGTCGTTGCTGTAGCTTTCGCCTGTATATTAGGCTTAATTTTCTGGTTAGAATTTTTTATTCTTCCAAAATTTTATAGGCCTCATTTACCATTTTTTAGCTCAATATGTTTTAAAATAATTTCTCTGATGGTGAATGAACCTGGTATGAGTAATGAAATTTCCGCGACAACATGTACTTGTGTAATTTTCATTCATTCTAAGAGAAGATTTTTTAGATGGTATAAATGACAGAATTTATGCAGTTCTGTTCCTTTCTCACCCTAACACTGGGTAAGGAGATAATTAAAAAGAGTAGCAAACTTTTAGTCTTAAACAAATGATGCTATCTCCTGTCATCCTCAACTCTTTCAGGGAGACAAGTGTTTACTGAATAACCTTCTCTTGAGACATGGGCTCAGGATTTACATGCACTGGTTAAGGTACTATCTTAAATATATTACTGCTTTGGAAACTGAAGCTCTATATGAAGCAGGAAACTCCTCTCATTTGTTCTAAAACAAGCCCCTTTTGAAATTCAGGATGGTCTGAAATGGCGGGTTAACTTTCAGACACTTATATTGAAGATACATTGTCCCTGGAAGCTTTTAGTTATTTCCCATTGTGTGTTTAAATAAATCATGCTGCTATAAAGACACATGCACACGTATGTTTATTGCGGCATTATTCACAATAGCAAAGACTTGAAACCAACCCAAATGTCCAACAATGATAGACTGGATTAAGAAAATGTGGCATATATACACCATGGAATACTATGCAGCCATAAAAAATGATGAGTTCATGTCCTTTGTAGGGACATGGATGAAATTGGAAATCATCATTCTCAGTAAACTATTGCAAGAACAAAAAACCAAACACCACATATTCTCACTCATAGGTGGGAATTGAACAATGAGATCACATGGACACAGGAAGGGGAATATCACACTCTGGGGACTGTGGTGGGGTGGGGGGTGGGGGGAGGGGGGAGGATAGCATTGGGAGATATACCTAATGCTAGATGACGAGTTAGTGGGTGCAGCGCACCAGCATGGCACATGTATACATATGTAACTAACCTGCACAATGTGCACATGTACCCTAAAACTTAAAGTATAATAAAAAAAAAGAAAAAAACATATTATTTCTTAAGTGTGTTTTACGTACAGGAAATATAGCCTTTATCATAAAACTCTCTAAGACAATGTGATAGCCTGTCTCTGATTGCAATTTGGCTTTGATAACCACAGCTTTCTGCCATCATTATCTAGCTTGTGTCTTTATAAATAAAATAGTCTTCTTTTTTTTGTTTTGCAAACCCCAAACCTTTAGAAGGTGTCCCAAACTTTTCATTAGAAATATCTCTACTCACCTATGCCTTGGCAGAAGTAAGGTGACTCAATTATGTATAAGGTTGTTGAGTGTTACTCAGCTTTGATAACTCATTGTTAGTAACTGTTAACATTCAGCATGATTATGCAATTCAGAGTTCATATCCATGGATCTATGTCCATAAGTCAAGGTAACCTTAAAACATGTGTAGAAAAGAGAACTTAGTTGTAGTTTAAAGCAATTTTCCAATGTGATTACAGTGAGACTCTGGGAAAAGATAAATATTGCTTAAATGAAAAATTACATAAATTTAAAAAGGTTTGCCTTTAAACACCAAATAAAAACAGACTGTGGAATAAATACAAAAGAAATGTGACAATATAGCAGTTACATTTGAGTTGTGTACCTCCCCTTTTTCATGCAACTATATTTTAAAATATAATTTTAAAATAATGTGATTTGTCTTTGGTGGAGTCCTCATATTTAGTTTTTAATCATAGAGCATACACATAGGAAATAACACTCAAAATACGTTATTGAACAGAAATAAACTTTTCCAGGTTATGGTACAAGCTCTGGAGTCACTTTTTAATATTTCCACGCTATGTGAAATTGGAAACAATATTTAACTTTCCATTGTTAATTTCTTTTTTTAGAAAGTAGGATATATTGTCAACAGTACTTATATCATGGGGTTGTTTTAGGATACAAAGTAATATATAGATTTTACTTCACTTGAAGAAAAGCACATAAATGCTCAAAAATGGTATCTCTCAATACAATTAGCTCACTTCATTCTTAAAAATATCTTATTATATCAATGCACAAACTTAATTTTCTGTTCATGAACTACTAAAGGGAGAGAATTACAATGTGTTAAAATGTTGATAAATTCAGGAACTTAGAGTCATTTGACACTAGATCATCTTGACCTGTGGGCCTCATTTTGCTGGTGTTTCAGGTTTACACATGTCCCCAGCCACCGTTTCAGGGCTTCCTTGACCTCACTGTTCCTCACACTGTAGATGAGGGGGTTTAGTAAAGGGGTGAACATACTATAGAAGGCTGACACAACCTTGTCGTGGTTAGTGGACCTGTGGGATTTGGGTCTCATATAGGTAAAAATGGCAGCTCCATAAAAGAGTCCCACCACAGCCACATGTGAAGAGCAGGTGGCGAAGGCCTTCTTGCGGGCTTCTGTAGAGCGCATGTGCAGAACAGCAGCGAGGATGAGACCATAGGAGGACAGGATGAGGGAAAAGGGGACCAGGAGCATTAACACACAGCAGATGTACATGGCGTTTTCGAAGACTGAAGTGTCAGCACAAGCCAAACGCACCAGCACGGGGGCCTCGCAGAAGAAGTGATCGATCTCGTGTGCACCGCAATATGGGAAGCTCAGGGTAGCAACAGCCTGCAGGAGCCCGTCAGCTGCACCCAGGAGCCAGGACGACATGGTCATCCTCAGGCACAGCTGCCAGCTCATGAGAGTGGGATATCGGAGTGGGTGGCAGACAGCCGCATAGCGGTCATAGGCCATGGCTGCTAAGAGGAAGCACTCTCCACCACCCAGTGTGGGGAGGAAGAAGATCTGCACACCACAGCCAGCGCGGGAGATGGCCTTATTTCCGGTCAAGTAGTCAGCCGCCATTTTGGGCACAGTGGTGGAAACCAGCATCACGTCCATGAGGGAGAGTTGGCTCAGGAGGAAGTACATGGGCGTGTGGAGCCGGCCGGTCCCGGTGAATCAGGAGAATCATGAGGGAATTGCCAAACAGGGAGGTCAAAACGATACTCAGAACCATCATGAAGAGGACTTGGTGGGCTCTGGTGTGGTTAAAGAGTCCCAGGAGAATAAAGTCTGGGGTAGTATTTCTCATCTCCATAATTTCCCCTGGTGTGATGGTGCAAATGGAAAAATAGAGAAGGAAGAGGCTTTTATCATCTGAATAACGAGCTAACTTCCCTCTTTTTTTTCATAGAAAATTCACAAATGTCATGGTTTGAATATTTTAGACTTCATCTCAGACACAGATGGTCTCATTCAGGGACCTCCAGAAAGGCAGTGCCAAGGACTCATTAAATTACTACATCCAGCATGTGAGCATTCAGATGTGAGCAGCCACAAACACACAGTAACACTAGCATCTTTGAGATGATACCTTGTCTGTGACTAATAACACTTCATTTTTAAGTTGTTTCCTGTCCTATACTTACTCCAAGTACTACTTACTCATTATAGTTACTGCTATTCTCTTCCAGCATTTACCAACATCAAAGATTCTGTCATGCCATCAGGGAAATAAACAGAGATTATAGGACAATAAAACAGGCAAAATAGGCAAAGATTCTACCTAATCAAGCCTGTGCCAAGCCTTGTCGGTTGCATTACTGTCTTCCCATATAGTGTATGCACTCCCCTTATTTTACATACTGTTTAAAGTATCTTTCTCATGTGATTGCCACAGCCCACTGACTCCTTGACTGCAGACCTCCACTGCCTCCATTATAACTTTAAACCACCCTCAGACTCATTTTATTAATGCAGAACTCATGGATAAAAAAGCACTCGACATGGCATTAAAAAGTCCATCTCAAAAAATCACTACTGTCCAAACCACCATCGCCCTGGTATACTTATGTAACAAACCTGCACGTTTGGCACATGTATCCCAGGACTCAAATAAAATAATAAAATAAAATAAAATAATAAAATAAAATAAAATAATAAAATAAAAAAATGTGTGCAGAGAAGCACCAAAAAAAAAAAAAAAATCACTACTGTCTAGTTATCTTTTTCCAGATTATAGTAGGTGTACCACTGCTAGTATGTGTCATGATTTTAGGAAGTATGTGAAATAACATATTCTACCTGCAAAGTTACATAACTTGTATTTGTGCTAAGAAAAAAAGTAAACATGAAAGCATGGGAAAAAAAGAATCATTTCTGTCATTTTACATTATAAGGAGAAAGTTATATAACATTTCTGTTTTGTTTTGTTTACTTAAATGTTTTAAACCAGTGGTCCCCAAACTTTTCTACCAATGGGGGTTGTGGGAGAGGGGATGCTTTTGGGATGATACTGTTTCACCTTGGATCATCAGGCATTAGATTCTCATAAGGAGCATGCGATCTAGATCCCTCACACGTGCAGTTCACAATAGGGCTCACACTCCTATGAGAACCTAATGCTGCTGCTGATCTGACGGAGGCAGAACTCAATGGGTAATGCTTGTTCACCTGCTGCTTACCTCCTGTGCAGGCCAGGTCCTAACAGGCCACAGTCTAGCATTGAACTTTCTAAAAAGATTACTAAAAAAAAATTACATGAGTTTTGCATATCAGAGTTTGAAAATAGTTTTTTAAGCCATAGTGCATATTGACACAAAATTTTTATTTTTAATTTAATTTTTTAGTTTAGATCATTTTATGTTGCCATTTTTTCATATATTCAGAAGCTTAAAAATCACAGCATAAAATATTAATTAGATTAGTGAGCTGAATACTATGTTGACATGATGGTGAAAGTCTAAGATTTGAAAATTCTTAGACTTTCTAAATGGTTATACTTTTTCATTCTGAGTGGTTATACTTTTTCAGAATTGAATTCTCTTCTCTACAGGTGGAGGCAAAGAGTAAATATCGCTTTAATTTGGAACCATTGCTCTTTTCTTTAACATTCAAATGTAACAAAAATAAATAAACCTGTATTATGCTAAGCTGTGAAAAATTATGATGTATAATATGGTTATAGATGAGACTTTTCAGCACATTGTATCGGTCAGATAATTTAATAGAAAAGTTAGTTTAACTGTATTAATTCTTCTTTCAGGTATACGGAGGTATTGCAGCTTGATTGTTTTTACTAATTATCATTTTTGAATAAAGGATTTTTTGGTGTTTTAAATATACAGCTATATTTATTTGTTAAGTGGAATATTTATCTCTCATTTAAAGGCTATATTAACTCAGCAAATTATAAGAATGTGAACAAATGCTGATAAATATTTCTTCTTTAAGGCAATTTGTGGGCTGATATTAATTCTAAGCTATTAAATAGGATACCTGGATTTAAATAAAACATTTTAATACTTTTGTATTTTTATGTATAAAATATATATCTTTTTATTTATTTTTCCACATACACTTATATATACATTTCTATTATATATATTTATATTTATTTCTATTTGTCTTTCTTAGCTCTTCTAGGCACTTTATTTAGAAATAGCTGAGGAATGTTGTGTCTATTAGTGTCAAAGCCATGCCCTTTCTGAAGCTGGTAGGTAAACTGATTATCGTCCCCTTCCCCACCTTCATGCTTACTTGAAAACACACACAGATCACTGTTCTGGAACATTAGAGTTCCACTCAACAATCTCCTTCTCTCTTCTTTCTGGCATCCTACCCTCCACAAAGGCAGTGTCTCTATGTCCACAAGCTATTGATATAACATGGAGAAATTATTGAAACAGCCATACTCTTCAGTAAAAAAAAAAATCTTCTAATACAAATTCAATCATTTGACCTAATTAACTGCTTTATTCAAGAATTTTTGAATTGGTGTTTCTGGGTAGACACAGACTGCATCTTACATTTTCAAAACACCCTGTGGATGACAGGACAACATTTAATTTGTGTGATTTGTGCCTGCAACTTTACAAAGGTTACTTTGCAATTCAAAATTCATATATAAAATGCTGAATACATAATAAATACGAGTAATTTGAAATTACTACCTAAAATTAAAGAAAAATAATTATCAAACAAATTGACTCACCTTTGCAGTAGAGAATCACAGCCAGTGTGACATATATATGGGACTGAATCTTTCTGATGGGTTGAGTACAAATGTTTGCTTAACCTCAGTATTGTGGCTACTGCTTTGTGCTTTTTGCTCTATTTAGTTAAAAATCCTCTGTGGTCACTGAAAGTTTCTAACAACCAAATATCTTCCCTGGAGCTATGCCACTTGGAAAGGTATATCATCTTTGGCAAGGGAATACAGATTAAAGTATTTCCTAAGGGTAAATGAATGTAATGAACAAATTTAGCACCCAAGTTTTGCTAAAAGCAAAAACACTCTGAATGGGAATGTGAACAGATATGTCCCTTGTAAGGATAGCAAGCACAATGAATTAGTGAAGTGAAAGTCTAGAATTCTGATCATTGATAATCCTTGAATATATGTGACTTAATTACCTGAAATAAATTTTTAAATTTTCTGAAATTGTATCATGAAAATAATAATAGATTTTATTTATTCAACATTTCTACATGCTAGTGAATATGCTCAGCATTTTACATACATTTACACGCGTGCTATTTAATCTTTTAGTTAGCTGTTTGTTCTATGAACTTTTACATTAATATAGCAATGTAAACAATGTTAATGGTTTTAAATACCATACCTATATTTAACTATCACGAGGTAGCAGAGCGGAAGAACTTTAATGTTCAAATCATAGACTTGTGGTTCTTAAAGGTTGAGGAACATCTGAATCACTCAGAATACTTAGGAATTACACTTTGAGAAATACTGCCTTTTATAAAAAAAAAAATCTGAAGGTGAATTTCGACTATTTTGAACTGGGCCCCAATGCTTGGATAGCCTATAAACTAATCAATTCCCAACTTTACATGTTTAAATGTTTTTGTGTTTTGTTTTTAATCTCACTTCTATTTCTTACGCATTTCATGATTTTGGATAAAATGATCTTCATGTTCCTTTCCTATAAAAGATGCATAATAAAATTGCTTACTTTGTAGCATTATAGGAAGGAATAAATAAAATATTGGTAAACGTTCTGGGAGAGTGTCTGGCCCATAGTATATTCTCCATCCATGTTCATTGATGTCATTATTGTAATTGTTCTGAAATAAAAAACAATCCCTGCAAGGCAGAGTAAAGTTGATTCTGGCCTACATATTGTAAAAAGTTATCTAAAACAAGATAAGGGCAGGGTAGCCTGTTCTTTCGGTGTTTAATAGTCCTGCTCAAAGACTATTTAGTGCTCTGGGTGAATGCTTCTGTGTTTGATTTGCCATTTACCATAAATTACAGCCCAGAATCTGTGAAGTTGTTTTGTCAAGTAGACATGTAAAGAACTTCTGTCCATGCCATATTAGATATCAACCAGTTTTATACTAATGGAAAACAAAACAAAAATAATGAATTTTTTTTTTGAAATCAAATTCACAGTGTCTTTTCCAATACCGCTTCTCCAACTCTCACACCAACTAGGTGTCTTACTATTCAATTTAATCCTGACACTGACCGGAGTCTGGAGCATCAGACTCCAGATGCTGATGGAGTCAATCCCACAAGACTGCCTTCTCTTCAGATGCCAGTCTCAAGTAGGGGATATCCAGGTTACCTCTACCTGATTTGGATACAAACTTGGAGGATCTCACAACTACTCTGCTTCAGGTTATATAACTGGCTGGAACGAAGCATGGAAATGAGGAAAATGCTACCCTTGCTATTATAGTTTATTATAAAGGACGCAAATGAAGAATCAAATGAAGAGGTACATCTGGGAAGCTCCGGAAGGGTCCCAAGCACAGGAGCTCCTGTGCCACCCTCTGGGCAAGGAAATGTGTTTGCCAACTCAGAAGCTCCCTGAACCCTGTCATTATGGGTTTTATGGTGGCTTCATTATATAGGCATTAATGTGGCTGTTGGTAATTAACTCAATCTCCAGCCCCCACCTCCCCAGAAGTTGAGTCATGGGGCTTGAGATGGAGCAGGGAGCCCTCTTAGTGACCTGTAAGTTCCTCCAAGTGCAGAGATAAAGGAAAAGCTTAAGTTCCTTCGGGGAAATTCCAGGCACCTAGCTAGTCCTGAGAAATAAATGAGCAACTTCATAAGCAAGAAGATAATTATAGCCTAATGCAATAGCCAAGGAAGTTAAAATCACAGGGTACTTAGTTCCTTTATAAAAACTAGAGATAACAGCTTAACATTTGTCCCTGAGTTGTTTTTCAGAAACTTGGAATCCCACTAAATAGCTCTACTGGCACATAGACCTCAGATAAGGAGGAACTGAGGACAGAGCTCGGACAACCATGTTTTCTTCTGAATTTCTTCCTGAAGGTCCTGGAGGAAGTCACACCCATGGATGAGAGTTAACATTGTTTTCTGCTGACTCTAATTTTTTAGACAAAGCTTTACTTCCTTAACCAATCACAAATCAGAAAATTTTTGAATCTCCCTATGATGTGTGGGCCCCCCACTTTGAGATGTCCCATTTTTTCAGGTTAAACCCATGTATAACCTCCATATATTGATTTATGACTTTTCCTGTAACCTCTTCCTCCCTCCCTTTAAAAACTTACCTGTAGCCATCCATCAGAGAGTTCAGGTCTTAAGCATTAGCTGCTCACTTCTCCTTGCTTGCCCCCCTGTAATAAATTCCTCCCTTTCTCTTGCTGCAATCCCCATGTCAGCATTTGACTTTGCTGTATCAGGCAGGCTGACTTGAGTTTCGTTTGGTAACATCTCTGTGGACTTGGGGTGTGCCACTCTCAGGGTATGTAAATGTGTTTGCTAACACAGAAGCTCCCTGAACCCTTTCGTTTAGTATGTTTTTTAATTTCTAGTTTTTGGGGTATATGTGCAAATTTGTCATACAGGTAAATTGTAGGTCACAGAGGTTTCATGTACAGATTATTTTGTCATGCAGGTAATAAGCATAGTACCCAGTAGGTGGTTTCTCATTGTCTCTCACCTTCCACCCTCAAGTAGGCCCCGGTGTCTGTTGTTCCTGTCTGTGTGTCCATGTGTACTTAATGTTTAGCTCCCACTTATAATGAAAACATGCAGTTTTTGGCTTGTAGTTCCTTGGTTGGTTTGCTTAGGCTAATGGCCTCCACTTCATCCATGTTGCTGCAAAGGACATTATCTCAGTCTTTTTGTGGCTGCATAGTATTTCGTGGTGTATATGTACTACGTTTTCTTTATCCAATCTACTATTGATGGGCATGTAGGTTGATTCCATGTCTTCGCTATTGTGAATAGTGCTGTGATGAACATACATGTGCAGGTTACTTTATTGTAGAACAATGTATACTCCTTTGGGTATGCAAGTAATATTGAGATGGGTGGCTTGAATGGTAGTTCAGTTTTAAGTTCTTTGAGAAATCACAAAGCTGCTTTCCACAATAGTTGAACTAATTTACATTTGCACCAGTAGTGTATAAGCGTTCCCTTTTCTCTGCATCCTCACCTTTTGTTATTTTTAGATTTTTTTAGTAATACCCATTCTGACTGGTTATGAGATGGTATCTCATTGTGGTTTTGATATGCATTTCTCTAATGATTAGTAATGTTGAGTACTTTTTCATATGCTTATTGGCAACATGGATGTCATCTTTTGAAAAGAGTCTACTAATATTCTTTGCCCACTTTTTAATGGAGCTGTTTGTTTTCTGCTTGATTTGTTTAAATTTCTTTATAGATTTTGGATAGTAAACTTTTGTTGCATGTATATTTGCAAATATTTTATCCCATTCTGTAGTTTGTCTGTTTATTCTTTTGATAGTTTATTTTGCTATGCAAGAGCTCTTTAATTTAATTAGGTTCCACTTGTTAATTTATGTTTTTGTTAAAATCAATTTTAGTATCTTCATTGTAAAATCTTTGCCAGGTCCTATGTCCAGAATGACATTTCCTAAGTTATTTTTCAGAGTACTTAGAGTTTAGGTTTTATGTTGAAGTCTTTAATCCATCTGAAGTTGATTTGTGTATGTGATGTAAAAAGGGTTCCAGTTACAATCTTCTGCATTTGACTAGCTAGTTATCCCAGCACCATTTATTGAACAGGAAGTCATTTCCCCATTGATTATTTTTGTTGGCTTCGTTGAAAATCAGATGGCTCTCGGTGTACGGCATTATTTCTGGGCTCTCCATTCTGTTCCGTTGGTCTATGCATCTGTCATTGTACCATTAACATGCTGTTTTGATTATTGTAGCCTTGTAGTATAGTTTGAAGTCAAGTAATGCGATGTCTCCAGCTTTGTTCTTTTGGCTTAGGATTGTCTTGGCTATTTGGGTTTTATTTATTTATTTTTATTCCATATGAATTTTAAAATTGTTTTCTCTAATCCTGTGAGGAATGTCATTGATAGTTTGACCTAGGAATAGCATTGAATCTGTAAATTGCTTTGGGCAGTATGGCCATTTTAAGAATATTGATTCTTCCTATCCATGAACATGGAAAGTTTTTCTATTTGTTGGTGTCTCTCCAATTCCTTTGATCAGCATTTTATATTTCTCATTGTAGAGATCTTTCACCACCGTCATTAGCTGTATTCTTTTCATGGCCATAGTGAATAGGATTGAGCTCCTGATTTGGCTCTTACCTTGGCTGCTATTGGTGTATAGAAATGACACTGACTTTTGTACATTGATTTTGTATGCTGAAACTTTGCTGAAGTTATTTATCAAATCAGGGAGCTTTTGGACAGAGACTATGGGGTTTTCCAGATATAGAATGGTATCATCTATAAAGAGAGATATGTTGACTTCCTTCCTTCCTGTTTAAATGCTTTTCATTTTTCACTCTTGCCTAATTGCTCTGGCTAAGACTTCCTACATAATACATATTAATACTTAATGTGTATGTACCTAACAACATAATGTCAAAATAGATGAGGCAAAAACATATAGGACAACAAAAGAGAAATACATAAATCTGCAATTAAAGTTGGATATTCAGCACCCCTCTGTTAGTAACTGATACATCCAGAGGCAGGAAAACAGTAAGAATATAACTGAACAGCACCATCAACCAACTGGATCTATTTCACATCTGTGGACTACTCCATTCAACAACATTAGAATACACACTCATCAAAGTACACCACATTCTGGTCTATAAAACAGACTTTCACAAATTATACCTGCCTCACAGTCTTCTTAGAAGGGTTACACTGGTTAAACCAAAACTTTATTGTCACTAAGAAATTGTAAAGAATCTCTAAACTCATTATAAGCTCCCAGGCTTCATGGAGACACCATCACAGAGTAATTCATTACATCCTGGATTTTTTTTAATTGATCGCACCTACTGAAACCCCTTGTCTATAATATCCATCACCGCTCCAACTTGTTAATGAGTAACTTCCATCTCTGCAGAAAGAAAAAGATGCTCAATCTTTGGTCAGAGCCTCCAAGGAGTATGATTGAATCTTTGACAGCCATATTTTCCTCTAAAGAATTTATGTTTCTGTGCAGATGAAGATGGAAATGGAAATGTAAAAAGGAGATGCTGAGAGGGGCTGAGCCTTGTGCAAAAGTAGAGAGTGGGTTTAGGCAGGAGCACGGTCATTTCATACGCTGTCACAGGAAACAAGGCTGAGTATATGGTACAGAATGAGGGAGGCTGATACAGTTCATGGAAGAAAAGTTTGAAATCTGATTGTTTTATTAACAGGTTTGTTTATTTTTCCCAGAGGAGTCTAAGAGATGTGGAAGTGGGGTAAGGTTTGGGGAAAGCAGGAGGAGGCATGGATCACTACTTTTCAGAGAAAGTCTGCAGAGAACAAGAACATACTGTGACGTGGCAAAAGGGCCATGAGATTTGTATTCATAAATCTGAGATGTATTGTCATAAATTTGAGGTGAGATGCATCATCATATATTGGACTTTCCTCAAGTCACGTTTCATTGCTGTGTATGGATCTTACAGGGACGGTAACAGGCTGAGAATGAGTTTTACCTGGGTTTGAGTTTTGCACTGAGTTAAATGCAAGCAGCACCACATTGCAGCAGGGAAAAACATAGAAGTTACCAAAGACTAACAAGAGCAATAAAAAATCTGTATGTGATCATAACTGGTCCACTCTTCTTATTTAAAGCACTAGAATGGCTTTGTCCAGTTTCGTACTTCATCGTATTTGCATCCAGTATTTATTGAGTCTCATCTCATCATCTCCTAGGACAAAGGGTGCCAAGATAATTCAAGAATCCAGCATTACTTTAGTTCCGGTTCCATCCATGTTGTTGCAAATGAAAGGAATTCACTCTTATTTTTTTTTATGGTTGAATAGTGTTCTATGTATCTAGTAAATTTTCATTATCCATTATATTACATGAAATAAGCCAGGCACAGAAAGACAAACTTTGAGCATTCTTGCTCATATGTGGGAGCTAAAATTAAAAAATAATAAATATAGTAGAATGACTGTTACCAGAGGCTCGGCAGAGTAGAGTAGAGTGGGGAATAAACTGGAGATGATTAATGGGCTCAAAAATACAGTTAGGATGAATAAGACTTAGAATGTAGTAGCACAACAGGATGACTATAGTTAACAATAATTTATTGTATATTTCAAAATAACTAAAAGTGGAATTGGAACATTTCTAACAGAAAAAATTAATAAATGCTTGAGGTAATAGGTACCCCAAATACCCTTATTTGCTCATTACACATTGAATGCCTGTATTGAAACATCACATGTACCTCATGAATATATGCAACCATTAGATAATCATAATAATTCTAAAAAATTAAAGGAAAAAAACAAAGAACATGGATATTAATTTTATAGCATTATTTCTAATTTCTGACATAAAATATAGCAGTTAGTGCCTTCAAAGATAAAAAAAGAACAATATAACCCCAAATAAAGTGTTCTTTTCTAGTTAACCAATGTATGGATTAAAGAGGTTAAGAGATGCTACAGTTGATTGAGCCCTTCCTCTGCAACAGACACTATGTAAACATTTGGCATACATCATTCTATTTAATTATTAGAATGTCCCTCAAATTAGTCCAGTTGTAAAGATTAGTAACAGGCTGAAATCTTAAGTAATTTTCCCAACTCAGCTTCCTAATTAGTGGCATAGCTGTCAGACTAGAGTATTCTCTCTGACTCTAAATGCTCATTTTATCACATTGTCTCTAAGAGTCAGCTTTCACTTTAGTAGAATAGCTAAATGGATATATATTGTCATGTATCAATTATCTACCCCCACCTAACAAGTAGAAGGAAGTGTTTTATCCTAGTATAATTTAATTTAGTCACAATCATCAATCATTCCCCCTGGAAACTCACTAAAGAGTGGACAGGAAACTATCCTTGGGACTAGTTCTGCTATTACTGAGTCGAGTACTTGTAAGTGGTTCCTGCACTTTTTTAATCCGGAATTCTCTAACTTACATGATGACAGAATTTCCATAAACATAATTTAACATCTTCTATAGCTCTGAAATCATGTACTGGAATATTAAATACACCCCTCTTTAGTCTGATTCTGGGTAGCAGCTGAATGCAGCAAAGTTGATTGGGTTGGTTGATTTGCTTTAAGTTCAGAATTTGAGTTCATCCCCAAATCAGCAAAGTCAAGTGAAGTGACCAAGGTTTTGGCCCCCGTGGACTTGGACACTGGAGATCAATTAGAGGAGAAAGAGGAATATCTAAGGGTTGGTGACTTAAGGTTCTGTGTGTAAAATATAGCCATTCATCCTTCTGTCTTCCAATGGTGGAACCTGAGAGACTTCAGTGTAAAATGCCTTATTCTGTTCTCACTGAAACAAGGTAAGAGGAAAGGAAGAGACTTTATCTAAACACTGCATATGCAAACAGGATAATATTTCACAAGAGCTGGTGAAGTTGTTTTCTGATTTCACCATAAAGACAATGACTAGCTGTGGGAGCTGTAAGGAATGAATATTATAAAGTGTTACCTGGTGTTTCTTCCTCATGAATTTTGGCAGATAAAGAAGAGATTCTCACTTCAGAAAGAGTTTTGGTTTAATGCAGAGCCTATTGATCAGTGATATAATGTTATTGATAGCCTGATATACTATCAGAACATAGTTTGATGCTTACATGTTTTAAATAATTATATGGAATGTTTGCAGATTATGATGTCACTGTAAAGCTGCTGCTTTTTTTTTTTTTTTTTGAGATGGAGTCTCACTATGTCACCCAGGCTGGAGTGCAGGGTCACGATCTCAGCTCACTGCAACTTCTGCCTCCCAGGTTCAAGTGATTCTTCTGCCTCAGCCTCCCGAGTGGATGGGATCACAGGCGCATGCCACCACGCCTGGCTAATTTTTGTGTTTTTAGTAGAGATGGGGTGTCACCATATTGGTCAGGCTGGTCCCGAACTCCTGACCTCGTGATCCGCCCGCCTTGGCCTCCCAAAGTGCTGGGCTTACAGACCTGAGCCACTGCGCCTGGCCATAAAACTGCTTTTTATACCACTATATAAACTGAAGAACTTCGGGCAAAGTGAGTCATAGTAATATAACTGAATTGAGTTGATTTGGGTCGGCTTTATCCTAGAAAGCTTTTTTGGAAATGTTTTCCTATCATCAGGAAACTCTCTGCTGCACAGGGAATAGACAGTTCCATAACAAATTGAAAAAGAAGGCTGGGCACCCAGGTGGCTCATGCCTGTAATCCCAGCACTTTGGGAGGCCGAGGTGGGCAGATCACGAGGTCAGGAGATCGAGACCATCCTGGCTAACACAGTGAAACCCGGTCTCTACTGAAAATACAAAAATAAAAATTAGCCGGGCGTGGTGGTGGGCGCCTGTAGTCCCAGCTACTGGGGAGGCTGAGGCAGGAGAAGGGCGTGAACCCGGGAGGCGGAGCTTGCAGTGAGCCAAGATCAGGCCACTGCACTCCAGCCTGGGCGACACAGTGAGACTCTGTCTCAAAAAAAAAAAAAATGAAAACCAAGAGTGAACTAAAAATGTAAAAAAAGGTAACATGAACTTGTTAGAGTTGCACTATGTGCAGCTCTCAAACAATGTGACATTAATAAAAACATTTTCTCAGGGCGTGAGGGCTCTCCATGGTTAACACAGGGAATGGGCAAAGGACAGTGACAATTACTAAGGACCTACTATGTGCTGAACACACAGAACTGTGAATTCTCTTTATAGTTGTCCTATACGTTGTTGAGATTGAGGGAGCTGAGTCTATGACTATTTGCTATTGGTCTCCTGCTGATTGTTTAAAAGAGTTTTAAGAAGCATTCACTAATTGTAATTTTGCAAAATAAATTCAGGACCCTACACTTGCTACACTTACATTGTTAGTTTCTGTGAAATGAGGTGTTTTTTAACTCTATAAATTTCAGCAACGTATCTTTTAGAATGAGAAAGAAAATAAACTTTTTATCTGAGGAATAAGTAGCCCCCTTTAAATTATCAGGCCCAGCAAGATTGAAATGTGGCCGCAGTCACATCTCACTCTTTCTTGAGCTAGGTAATCATCTCTTGAATCTACGTGCTATGGGGGCTCTGGACTGACTTGTGGCAACTAACCATGAATTAACCTATCAATCCCCTAAACCACATATCCTATAGTTAAATAATGCATAACCAATCACTGATCAATGTTGTTTCTGAAACCAGTGAGACTTGCTGATAAATAACTTTAGAATTTGTCTCCACTCCTGATTCCTCCCTTTCTTTACCTTAAAAACTTGGGTCTCTTCTTGTTCTCCAGGTTACTTGCCACAGAAGTGTTTCTGGGCTGCAGCCCTCAACCTTGGCCCAAATAAACTTTCTGTATTAATTTTGCCTTAGTGTCGTTCTTTAAGTCAACAAGGATGGCCAAGGCAGTCACTAATCTCACACTCACCTGATAGCCACAGGAACAACATTTTCCCAGCTATAAGGTAACCGACAGAATGATGCTTCATGTAATTCTGGTGCATGAAATAAGGTCCCATGTCTAACAAGGAAAGCTGCTGGACATCAATGGAAATAGATCCTAAACTCAAACTCCAATATCCCATGACCTAAAATCTCCAAGTCCCAGATTCACAGGATCCTAAAAGTAACTATTCTCTTCCATTGCCTAACAACATGCCACTTTTCCATTTTTGGAAACAAAATCATTATTGTAGTAACTGCCATAAAACAATCTTTATAATACTCTGAGCTATAGTCTATGCAACAAAGAATCAAAATGTCTCTCTTCAAAACAACTCCAGGATGGAACACATAAACCTACACCCAAGTCAGCTTGTTCAGGGCTCGGTATTGGATACACCTCATGGGATCATGCTGGCAGCTTTCTTCCCCTGGATTTAAACCTGGATTAAACAAAGGAATTCAGAAAGCACTACAAAAGGCTTTTCCAATTTCCAGGACATGTTGGGCATCCCCTAAGGCCTGGGCACATCAGGACAGTTGGTCGCCCACTTGGGGATGGGACAGCACCTGATGAATCATTCTATCCCCACTGCCTCACTCAGTGACTACTGCATCAAAGGCTGTCAACATGTTAATCTGATAAAATTAATCAAATATTTGCTTGGAACTAAATTACTAGGATAGTTCTTACTGATAGAATGAAGCCACATGAGTTACAAAATCAATCTTTATCATACATACCCTGGAAATTAGAAAAGTCGTTTGGAATACTTTTTGAATTCCTTTGTTTAATCCAATGATCTCTCTGCTTTTTTATTTTTCTATAGAATCGTAATCACTACATAACATCACTGTATGTTTGAGTTTGTTGGTCTATTGTTTGTATAATTATCTCAATTTTAATTACATATTCTAAAATCCTTTGTGTTTCATCACCAAAGCACATCAGTAGCTAGCAGCACTGTCATAAAACATAAATTCAGTGAACACTATTTGAGGAAATGAATGTATCATAATGATGGTTTTCATGTTTTTTTCTGATCAGTTTTTATTTCTAAAGCACTATAAGAAGCAGAGAGTGCCTGTGATCCCATTTGGCATCCAAGTCCAATGCTACTGTGCACCTGTCATGTTCCCAACTTTTCATTGTTAGTGTTTATTCCTTAGACAGCTATAGAAATGAATTTCCATTTTTTTTCCTGTGGCAGGCTCTCTTTCACAATTGTATTCATGCTACCCAAGGTTATATGAACTAACAGTTGAGTTTAAGTTCCTAAATGTGAATAATTGCAACAAACTATGATTTGCTTTTGAACAGCAAAAGTTGAAAAATCAGTAACCCAAGATGACTAACCAAATCAATATGCTGGGCAGGATGAGACATCAGTGTCTGCCTCAGACAGAAGAGCACACACAAAACATGACCTCTCACTCCAAGCCCAGGTAAAGGAAGAAGTCACACAGATGTTAGAAATATAGTTTACGAATACCTGGGAAACTGCATGAAGAAAAAAACAAACTGCCAGATTTGGGGTGGTGTAAAGAGAAAAAGAGAGATTCTAAAAGTCATAAATAAAAATTCCCAAGGAAAAGCCTAGGCATAAAAAGCTAGACAAACTTTCCAGGGAGGGAAAATTATTTATTTTTGTTTGCTTGATTTCTTTATTCTCAATTATTAACATTTAATTGTGTTGTTCTATCTAATTAAATTGGAAGACATGCTTAAGCCATAAATTACAATTGTTCTACTGCTCACACTGGCTTTTCCAGTTGAATAGATTTGTAGCTGCTTGACTCTGCTGTCATCTACAGTAATGAAAATCAAACTATAAGAACAGAAAGTGAATATCCTCTCTAATCTCCATATGCTTCAGATATAGAAATTGATTAAAAAAAACCTGCAGTGTTAGTGGAGAAACAACTCATTCTAAACAAACATTGATAAAGTCAGTTCCTTTTTGTTTTTCTATTGTGTTTTATTTCATGTTTTGTGCTTTGCTTTTGTTTCTATTTCTCTTTCAACAGTTACAGCAGAAAGTTTTCATGGAGAAATGGAATCACACTTCAAATGATTTCATTTTGTTGGGTCTGCTTCCCCCAAATCAAACTGGAATATTTCTCTTGTGCCTTATCATCCTCATATTCTTTCTGGCCTCGGTGGGTAACTCGGCCATGATTCACCTCATCCACGTGGATCCTCGTCTCCACACACCGATGTACTTTCTTCTCAGCCAGCTCTCCCTTATGGACCTGATGTACATCTCCACCACCGTCCCCAAGATGGCGTACAACTTCCTGTCCGGCCAGAAAGGCATCTCCTTCCTGGGATGTGGTGTGCAAAGCTTCTTCTTCCTGACCATGGCGTGTTCTGAAGGCTTACTCCTGACCTCCATGGCCTACGACCGTTATTTGGCCATCTGCCACTCTCTCTATTATCCTATCCGCATGAGTAAAATGATGTGTGTGAAGATGATTGGAGGCTCTTGGACACTGGGGTCCATCAACTCCTTGGCACACACAGTCTTTGCCCTTCATATTCCCTACTGCAGGTCTAGGGCTATTGACCATTTCTTCTGCGATGTCCCAGCCATGTTGCTTCTTGCCTGTACAGATACTTGGGTCTATGAATATATGGTTTTTGTAAGTACAAGCCTCTTTCTCCTTTTCCCTTTCATTGGCATCACTTCTTCCTGTGGCCGAGTCCTATTTGCTGTCTATCATATGCACTCAAAGGAGGGGAGAAAAAAGGCCTTCACCACCATTTCAACACATTTAACTGTAGTGATCTTTTACTATGCACCTTTTGTCTACACCTATCTTCGGCCCAGGAATCTCCGCTCACCAGCTGAAGACAAGATCCTGGCAGTCTTCTACACCATCCTTACCCCCATGCTCAATCCCATTATCTACAGCCTGAGGAATAAGGAAGTCCTGGGGGCTATGAGGAGAGTGTTTGGGATATTCTCTTTCCTGAAAGAATAATCATGGCCATCCCCACTCCCTTTGTATTTCCTCTTTCCAAGTTGATTCCAACACGCTAGAGCAGGGTTGTCCAATAGAAATACAACATAATTTAAAATTTTCTAATAGGTACATTTAAGCAGTCAAATAAATTTAAATAATATATTTAATTCAAAACAATGTTATAATTAATATTAATATTAACAATATTGATGTTAATTACATAGCATACTATTTCAATAAATTATATGCAATATATTATAGTACATGTTTGTACATATATTACTATTAACGTGATAATGTTTATTCTTGTATATTGACATAGAATTTCTTCATGTAATAACACAAATTTGTTAATGTTGCCTTTTACTCTGTTTGCATTCTAAGTCTTCAAAGTCTTGTGTTTGTTTTATAGAGTGCAGCGCAGCTTGGACAAAACACATTTCAAGTGCCCAGTAGTCAGTGTCTATAGTGTTGGACAGCACATTCTTAGAGCATCCCCAATCAATAGTTTCAGAAGTTATATATGCATGTGTATGTGCATGTATGGTGTATACAAACATATTTTTGTTATATACAATATTGCTGATGAACTGAAAATTAACAAGTAAAATGCACATGCTAAGGTAGTGTTTATGTGTTTCTTTATCTGTTGGCTCATTTTTAGCATATGCACATTTATTGTAATTAACATTTGAAGTCCAGTTTATCCTAACTCCTTTAATAAAACTATTCAGGGAGAGCTTATCTGACTTATGATTTTGCTGATTTCATAAAGATACTGAGATAAAATAACTTGAATATGAATATAAAAGAACCCACATTTATGTATACATAAAAATTAATAAAATCTTTATATAAATAACTTTATCAAAGTTGTACTTAAAGAAATTATTTATATAAAGGCACAGAGACAGTGACAGGGTAGAGACAGCATGCAAAATATAAAACGGAAACTGGGACCTCAGGCTTCAGCTTTGATGTGTAAAATATGTATATGACTTTGCACAGGATGAAATCCTATGTTGCTATATGGAAAGTTGTGTTTAACAAAAGTTTTACTATGGTTGTTTTACTAATTCACTTAAGTGACTTCAAGTCTATCAATAGTTGGAGTTATAGAGGGGTTCTGATTTTTGTGGAAAAAAAATTGAGACTTGTATTAATATATCCCTTTTATTTACTGCCCAAATTCAAGCTCCCAATATCTTTTTCTAGTTTCTTACTGCCTTAAGTGTTTTCATCTCTTGAGTCCAGTTCTTACTGAGAATATAGTGTACTCATTGCCATTTGAGTTATTTCCCTAAACATACATTTGATCTTGTCATTCTATAATCTATGATTCCTGTTGGATTATCTAAATTTTGGAACATGAAACTTATATCCCCATGCTTTTAAAGCATGCATTATGTCTCCCTTTACCTGTTTCTATCACTTACACTCAGTACCACAGTCACTCTAGACCTCCTGCCTTTCTCCATAGCCCTCTATTTCCTTGCCCATCTGAACCTTATCACAGACCATGTCTCACTTCTGGAAAGTTCTGATTTACATAGCTTATGACTATCAATCTGAATCCCACATAATCAGTAAACATAACTCAAAATTGACATCCCATCTCTTCTTGTGCACAGCTGATATCTCTTTCCCCCACACTTCTACTCCTGCTTATGATCACATTTTATTAACACTTATTCACATCTATGTCTGTCTTATTTTAAATTGAAGCTCATAGAATATTTTAAAAATTATAATAATTAGGATTATAAGGCTAACAAATATTTACTAATTGTAAATGCTTTTCCCACATACATAACTTAACCTGCACTACAACACTATGATTCCGATATTTATTCCATGTTGAGTGAGCACTTTGAGGCTTGGTGAGGCAAAACAAACAAACAAGAAAAATGTCTTAGGTCAGAGAGCTGGGAAGGGAAGAACACAACTTAGAAGCCAGTTTTCTTTGAATCAGGCTTTGATTCATGTCACCCAGTCTCTGAACAAGACCCTCATCATTTTGGCCTGGAGGTCCCCACAGAATGGAGTGCTATGGCATGCAATGATGGGGACATTTTTTTGTGGTAATTTATTTATGTTTATTGGTATGCAATGCAAGTTTAAGGAACTAGTGTTCATGCCACATTACAGATCCAGGGGAAAATATAAGCAGATAGTAGTTAACAGATCATTACTTAGAATTTCCTTTTACTTCTTCAAATGGGTTGTCGCTCATTCCGGGAGGCAGATTCCTCAGTCTGCGATGTATCTCACTCATTTTTTCCACTAGTATCAGGGTTTTCTCCTTGAATTAAAAAAAATGTATAATTTTTTCTGCTCTGAGTATGACCACTAAAATTAATTTTTGTGGTTTGGTTTTGATTTTTTTTGGAGATTCTACCGTTACTTTGATGTTAAACAATCACCAATGCAGTAAATCCTTATTTAGTATAAAGTATAATATGTCCTAGTATATTCTGCAGAAATTAAACACATTGATCAATCTTTGTACAAAAACAACAAACCACAGTTGTGAAAGGAAAACAGCAAGCTAAAAAAAATAGCCTCCAGATTTTCTGCAAGACAAGGCATTTGGAAAAATTTCTCCAAGCAAAAGTAATTGGAAGGCTGCTGAAGTTCATTCACCTTAATTAACAAGAACCATATCATATAGGAAGGGTTCAATGCATACCTTATTAATTAATTTAAGGTATGTATTAATTAATTAAAACTAATTTAATTTTAATTAATTTAATTAAATAATAAATAAAATAATTATTAATAATTTAATTAAATAATAAATAAAATAATTATTAATAATTTAATTAAATAATAAATAAATTAATTATTAATTAATTTAATTAAATAATAAATAAATTAATTATTAATTAATTTAAGGGATGTATCAAACCCTTCCTATGTGATATGGTTCTTGTTACATCAGGTAAAATGATGGACAAGCAGGTATAGTCTTTTACCCTGTGGAGCCCCCATGCTGGTGTGAGCCATAAAAACATTAGTACACACTATCTGGTCAGGCTGGGCAGTGATGAATTCAGGCAGAAAAGTAGCAAATGATTTATCACATGGAGTCATCAGGCCCCTCTGACATGATGAAGGGGCTGGCCATGTAAACCTGAAGGATAAAACCCACAAAGCCCTCCAATGACTGAGACAGGAGCGCAGCAGAAGGCAGTGAGCAGAGAGGAGTAGGAGAATAGATCAGAGCCTTCTCAGGGCCAGGTGAAGGCAAATAATCTGGACTTTATTCTAAATGTAGCAGAAGCCTTGCAGGGAAATATTTTCTCAAATACTAACATCCAGAGCTGCTTGGCGAGTCGGTTGGTGTGAACTCTGGGAAAATATCTGAACACGTGGCAAAATGGGCCATATAACAGCCAATACTTCCAAAGAGAAACTCTGAGCTTTTAAAGGAGTCATTTGTTTTATTTCAAGGTTTAGTTTGATTCTTGGAGAGATATTAAACCTTAGGTGGCTCTAAAGACCCATTATTATTTACATCTCTCATTGTTCTCTTGGCATATTTTTCTATGGCATAGGAGGATAACTAGAGTTAATGTATTACATATTTCAAAATAGCTAGAAGAGAGGTTTTTGAATGTTATCATCACAAAGAAATGATGAATGTTTAAGGTGATGAATATGCTAATCATCCTGGTTTGAGCATTACATAGTGTATACAAGCATCAAAACACCACATTGTACTCCACAAATATGTATGAATAACATTTTAAAGTGAATAAATAAAATAAGCTGTTCCTGTCATGAGGCCAAATACTACACTTTTATGTTATTGTTCTTTCTTGATTCCTCTTCCAATTCCAAGAACAGATCAGTGACATAATCACAGAGGGAAACAGGAATGGGATCTTATCTTGACACATCTTCATGAAGTGTCCAATGACATTGAGGTTTTGATTTCTTTCAACTGAAAGATCCTAGCCCAAGACAGAAAAATGAAGTTGAAAAATTATATTCTGCTACTTCTCCCAGACCAAAACCTATCACAAGAAATCTTTTTAATTTTATTTTGAATTAACAAATAATATTGTATGTGTTCATGGAATACAATATGATGTTTTAGATATGTTGATAATGTAAAATGATTAAATCAGGCTAATTAACAAACCCAACACTTCATATACTTATTTTCTTGCATGGTGAAAACTTTTAAAATCAACTTTAAGCAATTGTGCAATATATAACACACTATTATTTATTATAGGCTTCGTTCTGTACAATAGATCAGTAATAATTATTCCTCCTGTCTAACTAAAACTTTCTATGCTTTGATCAACATCCTTTTCCCACCCATTCTTATCCCCATACCTCTGGTAACCATCATTCTACTCTCTACTTCTATGAGTTGAACTTTTCTAGATTCCACATGTAGGTGAGATCACTTAGTATTTGTCTTTTTTGAGCCTAGCTTACTGACTTAGTGTTATGCTGTTCGGGTTGATCCATGCTGTCAAAAATGAAAATATTCCCCCATTTTTGAGGGCTGAATAGCATCCCATTGTGAATACATACTACATTTTCTTTATCCATTAATCTGAAGATGGATACCTACGTTCCTTTATAAATTTGTTTTGTCCAAATTCCCCTTTCGTTTTTTTTTTTCTATTTTAAGTTCTGGGATACATGTGCAGAACCTGCAGGTTTGTTACATATGTATACATGTGCCATGGTGGTTTGCTGCACCCATTAACCCATTGTCCAGGTTTTAAGCCTCGCATGTATTAGGTACTTCTCCTAATACTATCCCTCCCCTTGCCACCACTCCCTGGCAGATGCTGGTGTATGATGTTCCCCTCCCTGGGTCCATGTGTTCACATTGTTCAACTCCCACTTGAGTGAGAACATGTGGTGTTTGGTTTTCTATTCCAGTGTTACTTTGCTGAGGATAATGTCTTTCAGCTTCATCCATGTCCCTGAAAAAGACATTAACTCATTCTTTTTAATGGTTGCATAGTATTCCATGATATATATGTGCCACATGTTCTTTATCCAGTCTGTTGGGGCGATCAGACCCAACACCAGGCTGTGGGGGCTATGAAGTCCGGAGGAGTCAAAGGAATGAGACAAGACAAGTTAAGAGCACATAAAGTGGGACCACGGGGCCAACGCTAGTTTGAAGGCTGTGAAGACCCAGGCTCTGAAAGCCCGCACTATTTATAGGTGATCAAACAAAGAAGCAGGTGGTGAGGATGTGGGGGTTGAAAGAAAGTGGTGTATCAAGTGCATGATCTACAACTGTGACGGTTTAGCATTTTCTTTGCAGCATATGGAACATGTTCTGCTACTTGAGATAATGGGAAAAATGTTCTTCTCGTTGCAGATACAATTGATCTCTGAACCTGGGAATGCTAGAAGCAAGGAGCCAGTAAGTCTAGACACATTCCAGAGGCCACGAGGGGTTTTATGCCCTGAGCTATGGATTCCATCCAAGCCATGAGGGGTTTTATGCCCTGGGCTTAGATTGTGGTGCAGCAGGCCAGCCTTCCACCCTTTGGCACAGAGTTTGGTGTACCAAAGGCCATGAGGGGTTTTAGACCCCGGACCCCGGACATGTTCCAAGACTCTTTTACACTATGTCAGACATGCAAGCCCTGCCTCAGCTTTTTTCCCAACACTCAGCTTTTCCCCAACACAGTCTATCACTGATGGGCATTTGGGTTGGTTCCAAGTCTTTCCTATTGTAAATAGTGCTGCAATAAGCATACGTGTGCATGTGTCTTTATAACAGAATGATTTATAATCCTTTGGGTGTATATCCAGGAATGGGATTGCCGGATCAAATGGTATTTCTGGTTCTAAATCCATGAGGAATCACCACACTGTCTTCCACAATGGCTGAATTAATTTAAATTCCCACCAACAGTGAAAAAGTGTTTCTATTTCTCCATATCATCTCCAGCATCTGTTGTTTCCTGACTTCTTAATGATTGCCATTCTAACTGGTGTGAGATGGTAGCTCCTTGTGGTTTTGATTTGCATTTCTCTAGTGACCAATGATGATGAGCTTTTTTTTATATGTTTTTTGGCTGCATAAATGTCTTATTTTGAGAAGTGTCTGTGCATATCCTTTGCCCACTTTTTGATGGGCTCTTTTTTTTTCTTGTAAATTTGTTTAAGTTCATTGTAGATTCTGGATATTAGCCCTTTGTCAGGTGGATAGATTGCAAAACTTTCCTCCCATTCTGTAGGTTGTCTGTTCACTCTGATGTCAGTGTCTTTTGCTGTGCAGAAACTCTTTAGTTTAGTTAGATCCCATTTGTCAATTTTGGCTTTTGTTGTTATTGCTTTTGGTGTTTTAGTCATGAAGCCTTGCCAATGCCTATGTCCTGAATGGTATTGCCTACGTTTTCTTCTAGGGTTTTTATGGTTTTGGGTCTTATATTTCACTCATTAATTCATCTTGGGTTAATTTTTTTGTAAAGAGTAGGGAAGGGGTCCAGTTTCAGTTTTCTGCATATGGCTAGACTGTTTTCCCAACACCATTTATTAAATAGAGAATCCTTTCCCCATTGCTTGTTTTGTCTGGTTTGTAAAAGATCAGATGGTTGTAGATATGTGGTGTTGTTTCTGAGGCCTCTGTTCTGTTCCATTGGTCTATATATCTGTTTTGGTACCAGCACCATGCTGTTTCAGTTACTGTAGCCTTGTTGTATAGTTTGAAGTCAGGTAGCATGATGCTCCAGCTTTGTTCTTTTTGATTGGGATTGTCTTGGCTATACGGGCTCTTTTTTGGTGCCATGTGAAATTTAAAGTAGTTTTTTTCTAATTCTATGAAGAAAGTCAAAGGTAGCTTAATGGGAATAGCATTGAATCTATACATTGCTTTGAGCAGTATGGCCATTTTCATGATATTGATTCTTCCTATCTATGAACATGGAATGTTTTTCCATTTGTTTGTGTTCTCTCTTATTCCTTGAACAGTGGTTTGTAGTTCTCCTTGAAGAGGTCCTTCACATTCCTTGTAAGTTGGATTCCTAGGTACTTTATTCTCTTTGTAGCAATTGTGAATGGCAGTTCACTCATGATTTGGCTCTGTTTGTCTATTATTGGTGTATAGGAATGCTTGTGATTTTTGCACATTGACTTTGTATCCTGAAACTTTGCTGAAGTTGATTATCACCCTAAGGAGTTTTTGGGTGAGATGATGGGGTTTTCTAAATATACAATCATGTCATTTTCAAACAGAGACAGTTTGACTTCCTCTCTTCCTATTTGAATACGCTTTCTTCCTTTCTCTTGCCTAATTGCCCTGACCAGAACCTTCAAGACTATGTTGAATAGGAGTGGTGAGAGAGGGCATCCTTTTCTTGTGCCTGTTTTCAAAGGGAATACTTCCAGCATTTGCCCATTCAGTATGATATTGGCCATGGATTTGTCATAAATAGCTCTTATTATTTTGAGAAATGTTGCAACAATACCTAGCTTATTGAATGTTTTTAGCATGAAGGGGTGTTGAACTTTCTGCATCCATTGAGATAATTATCTGGTTTTTGTCACTGGTTCTGTTTATATGATAGATTATGATTAATGATTGTTGTATGTTGAACCAGTCTTGCATCTCAGGATGAAGCCGACTTGATTGTGTTGGATACGCTTTTTGATGTGCTGCTGGATTTGATTTGCCAGTATTTTACTGTGAATTTTCACATTGAGATTTATCAGGGATATTGGCATGAAAATTTTTTTTGTTGTTGTGTCTCTGCCAGGTTTTGGTATCAGGATGATGCTGACCCCATAAAATGAGTTAGGAATGAGTCCCTCTTTTTCTATTGTTTGGGTTAGTTTCAGAAGGAATGGTACCAGATCCTCTTTGTACCTCTGGTAGAATTCGGTTTTGAATCCGTCTGGTCCTGGGCTTTATTATTATTATTATTATTTGGTTGGTAGGCTATTAATTACTGCCTCAATCAGGACTTGTTGTTGGTGTATTCAGAAACTCATCTTCTTCCTGGTTTAGTCTTGGGAGGGTGTATGTGTCCAGGAATTTATCCATTTCTTCTAGGTTTTCTAGTTTATTTGCATAGAGGTATTTATAGTATTCTCTGATGGCAATTTGTATTTCTGTGGGATCAGAGGTGATATCCCCTTTATCATTTTTTATTGTGTCTGTTTGATTCTTCTCTCTTTTCTTCTGTATTAGTCCGGCTAGTGCTCTATTTTGTTAATCTCCTCAAAAAAACGGCTTCTGTGTTTATTGATTTTTGAAGGGTTTTTCATGTCTCCATCTCCTTCAGTTCTGCTCTGATCTTAGTTATTTCCTGTCTTCTGCTAGATTTTGAATTTGTTTGCACTTGCTTCTCTAGTTCTTTTAATTGTGATGTTAGTGTGTGAATTTTAGATGTTTCTCAGTTTCTGATGTGGGCACTTAGTGCTATAAATTTCCCTCTAAACACTGCTTCAGCTATATCCCAGAGATTCTGGTACATTGTGTCTTTGTTCTCATTGACTTCAAAGAATGTATATATTTCTGCCTTAATTTTGTTCCTTTATTTCTTAACTAATGTAAATAACACTGCAATGAATATAGGAATGCAGATATCTCTTCAACGTACTGATTTCGATTCCTTTGGTTATAGAGATTGTATGGTACTACTGTTTCCAATTTTCTGAGGAATTGCCATATGGTTTAGCTTACTTCACAACCAAGAGTGCACAAGGGTCTTTTTTACTCCACCCCTTCATCAACACTTGTTATATTGTATGTTTTTGATAATACCCATTATTACAATTGTGAGACAATATCTCATTGTGGTTTTATGTTTTCCTGATGATCAGTGATGAGAAGCATTTTCTCATATATCTGATGGTCATTTGTATGTCTTCTTTTGAGAAGTGTCTATTTAAGTACTTTGCCTATTTTTTGATTGGGTTATTTGTTTACTTGCTTTTGAGTTGTTTGAGTTTCTTATATATTTTGGATAATAAACCCCTAAAAAAGTGTAGTTTGCATTTTCTCCCAACCTGTGGGATGTCTCTTCACTATATTGTGTCTTTGCTATGTGAAGCTTTTTAGTTTGAAACAATTCTTTTTTTTCTTTTTTTGCTTTGTCACCTGTGCTTTAGGTGCCATATGCAAGAAATCGTTGTCCAAACCAATGCTGTGGAGCAGCTCCCCTATGTATGTTTTCTTCTAGAGGTTTTACAGTTTCAGGTCTTACACTCAAGTTTTAAATCCATATTGAGTTGATTTTTGTATATGGTATGAAATAAGGATCCAATTCTATATTTCTGCACATGGATATATAATTTTCCCAACAACATTTGTTGAAGACAGTGTTCTTTTTCCATTGTGTTTTTGGCACCTTTGTCAAAAATCAAGTGTTCACAAGTGTGTGGGTTTTTACAATACATTATAACATACATGTCAGACTTTTATAATAGGTCTTGGGCCGAAGTGGCCATTATTCTCTGAATGAGATGTCCACTCATTCAAAGCACATAGAAATGGGCCCATTCAGCATAATTATTCCTCACATAAGGTTTAGCAAAGAGTGTTCTAGCTCCCTGAAGAATTATTGATTTTCACAGCCATATCTCACACATTCTGTTTGCTAAGATTTTTGTTTTATTGTCACCTTTTTGAAGAGATATTCTTAGGCTAACTACTTAAAGAAGCAATCACTCCTCAAACTCTTATTCTATAACTTTCTTAACTGCATTAATTTTCCACAAGGCACATTTATCTCTCCAAATCACAGTATTTGTTAATCCACTTTATTGTCTATTTTTACCATAACATTTATTCATAGCTTATTTCATCAGTGCTTGCATCTGGCAAATAGTACAAACTTAATAAAACTGTTAATGAATCACATCATTCTGATCTAAGTAATTAACTAATGAATGGGCATATAGCCCATTTGGCTAATAGCTATAATCATCAGGGTTTCTGACATTGGGAAACACATATGGTGACTTCCAGGTTGCTGAGAAGGGAAAAACATAAGCAAGAGCTTTTCTAATAATTAAGCTGAAAAGAGATAATCAGAGTCAAGACACACATATATTTATGTACATGAAGCAAAGATTTAGGCAGAGCACCATGCGTCACATCTGTTATCCCAGCAATTTGGGAGGCAAAGGTGGGTGGATCACTTGGGTCCAGGAGTCTGAGACCAGCCTGGGAAACCTGGCAAGACATGGTATGTCTCTTCTCACACTGCTATAAAGAACTTTCCTGAGACTGGGTAATTTATAAAGGAAGAAGATTTAATTGACTCACAGTTCCTTATGCCAACAGAAGGAGAAGGGGAAGCAAGCACCTTCTTTACGAAGCAGCAGGAGAGAGAGGGTGAAGGGGAAAGAGACCATTATAAAACCAACAGACCTCATGAGAACTCACTATCATGAGAGCAACATGGGGGAAACTGCCCTATGATCCAATTACTTCCCGTTAGATCTCTCCCTCAACACCTGGGGATTACAATTTGAGATGAGATTTGGGTGGGGACAGAAAGCCAAGCCATATAAAATGGTCTCTAAAAAACAAACAAAAAAAAGAATAGCCACGCATGGTGGCACACGCCCATAGTCCCAACTACTCAGGAGGCGGAGATTAGAGGATCAGCTGAGCTTGGGAGGTTGAAGCTGCAATGAACCATGTTGGATACAGTGAGTTCCTCTTCAAAGGTTCCGCTTGTTCAACTCCCTTTCTTTGTCCTCTATTTTCAAAGCCTAACTTCCTTGCCTGCTTGACCCTAGTTACGGTAAACAACATTCTAGCCATTCCCAATCTGTAATCCACTTCCATTCCCAATCTTTAACCCGTATCTATTCCCAATCTGTAACAACCCACATCTGTTCCTTATTTTGCACCCTTAGTTCTGAAACTGCCCTTCCCGCTGCTGTAGCTCCGCCCCCTGCTCCATAGGAAGTAGCCAATTGGGATCAGCTTAGATTGTGCTGTCTGACTGCAGCCAATGGGGACTGGACACAGTAGCAGGGACTGACTGCATTAGGAATAAAAACCCCGTCCCTCCTTTTTTCTGTGTGCTCTTATAGTGACCAGAAGAGCAAGCAGTACCCTTCTGCAGAAGTAAATTTGCCTTGCTGAGAAATCCTTTATTTGAGTGCTCATTTTCTTTGCACCTCTGAGCTCTTCTTTCCAACAATTTGGGGGCTCGTCTTGGATTCCTATTCTCCTCTGGGAAAGGGTTTCTGATCCCCTCTCATGAAAAGATGCGTCCCACTGTCTTGTTGTAATGGCCTCAGGGTAAGGGATCGGGACTCACTCAGTGTGATGAATAATCCCGGACTCTCAGCAATGCGGGCATAAAGTATCTTTACACACCATGGTGACCATGTAACTCTGTGCACAGATCAAGGTAAGAAACGTCGCGGGGGTGACAAAGTAATAAATATGGATAATATATCTATTTTATATATTATATATATAAAGAAATAGATAATTTTGGACTTGCAAATATTCTAGTCAGAATATCACAGGGCAAACCCCAAAATTGGAGCTCAGCTCGGGAGGCCACATGGTTCCTTGCCTTCATGGAGGAAAGAATTCAAGAGCAAGCCAGCAGAGTAAAGTGAAATCAAGTTTATTGAAAAATAAAGGAATAAAAGGGTGGCTACCCCACAGGCAGAGTAGCAGCATGAGTTTATCACATAGATGTGGTTATTATTTTTTGATTATATGCTAAACAGGGAGTGAATTATTCGTGAGTATTCTGGGATGGTGTGGGGACTTCTAGGAACTGAGGGGTCTTCACCGTTTCAGATGATATAGGGTAACTTCTGGACATTGTCATGGCCTTTTTAAACTGTCATGGGGCTGGTGAGAGTTTCCTTTGGTATGCTAATGTATTCTAATTATAATGAGCATTGAGGACCACCGGAGGTTGCTTTTATTGCCATGTTGGTTTTAGAAGGTTGTGGCCAGCTTATTTACCACATCCTGTTTTATCAGTGCAGTCTATGTTACTTGTATCTTGTGAAACAAGTCCTGCTGAATTCTTATGTCAGGAATATTCAAGGGCATTTCGAAAAATATACGTGCTTGGATTGCAACTCCAGATTTCAGATTTTTAGCATAACTGAGATATGCCTTTTTCTTATGTCTATGTTTTAGTTAATTTTTGCATAGTTATAAGTACTTAATATATGGCAATAGCATTAGCATAAAATTAGAAAAACATTTATAATGTGGGATGATTTTATTTCCAACCCCCATTCTTCAAATATGTACTCTGTCCTCTCTCTAGTATAAAGGAGTTTTCAGTTCATTGTGTATCATTCCACAGATAGGTACATATATGACCATATATTATTTTTATTAATTGCTATACTGCATCTTACTTTTAAAAATGTTGTATGGTGAAATGTAAAACACATACACACACAAAGCCATAGGCAAGATAACCACGAGGAAACAAGGTATTATGAATTGAACACCTGTGTAACCACTTGCCAGTTCAAGATACAGAACAATGTCAGCACTCTCAGAAGCCCTTTGCATTCTCATTTCCAAACAAAAAGTCCTCCTTCCACATATATGTAATTACTAAAATATCTAGTAGTAATATTGTTCATACTTTCATTTATTTTTAAGTTCTAAAGAAATCTGTAAGCTTCATACATTAATTTTAATCTGCTTATTCTACTGAGTTTGGTCTCTGGTGAGTTTTACATTAATGGGACACATTTGTGTCTCTCTTTCATTTTTATTGTAATAAAAACATTTCATGTTATCTTCTCATTGCAATACATTTAGCCATTTCAGGGTTGATGGGTACCTATTTGGATTCTATCACATCTGATGCTGTAACACAGATTGCTGTAGAAATCTTCTGGTTGTTCTGTGCAGAGCTCTAATTGATTGTATACCCAGGAACTGCTGGGTTACAGCACTAGTAAATTTCCAAATTTAATAGAAAATACCACACTAATTCCAAACAGTATGAAATTTGCACTCTATAGGAAGACATTGGAAGTCATAATAATCAAATTTATCATCCACAAAATTTTTGTGTGTATTTCTTTTATTTTTAAAGTTTCATAATTCAGATACATGTAGTAATGTTGAATAGTGCTATTACTTTTCATCTCTCTAGTTTTTACAGTAAGGTTTAATACTCTGTTTTATATTAACATATCATCATTCATTAATCCATTCTACTCTAGGAATTTTCAGTTTCTGACTATATTGAATAATGCTGCTATGAATTTTCTTTTATATGTCTTTGGTACATGTGCTTAAACTTTCTCTTTTTGATAAGTTTATACATATATGTATACATATGTATATGTATACCTGTATACTTACATAAGCATATATGTTACATATAAGCATATATAATATATAATATATAGAAGTATATATTTATATATACTTAAGTATATACAGAAGTTATATATATATTTTATATATGATATACATAAGTATATACACATAAAAAGGTTAGTAGATAAGTATATTTAACATATATAAGTATATTTAAAAGATATATACTTATATATCATTCATATATACTTAAATAAGTGTACATAAATATATGTTCACATATATTTATATTATACGTAAGTATATTTAAGTATTATATATGTACATATATGTACATAATTCATATAATTTAAATTACTTAGTGTGTGTAGATATATAATTGATCTATCCATTAGGTAATTCTTCCAAAAATTTATACAAATTTGCATCTCAGTAATAATATGTGAGAATGTGTTTGCCATTTTGTACCAAAAAACACATTGTGCCCTAAAACATTTTGATAGTTTGCAAACATATAACTGAATATTTATTTCTAAGTGCCATTTACATTTTCATAAATGAGACAACATCTTTTTCTATTTTTTAGAGCTATTTGTGTTTTATTTTCTGGGAAATGTTACCTATTTTACCATAGAGTTATTGGTATATATATATATATATATAGATGTTTGGAACCCTTTATATTTCCAGTATAAATCTGTGTCTGTGTCTGTGCAATATAATTCAACATTGTTTTAAGTTTTATGTGTCTTTTGTTTTTCTTTATAATGATCACTACAATCAAGAATTGTTTTAAAATAGTCACATTTATAAATAAATCTTTTTTCAGTGATAGATTTTGTATCATATTTTTAAAGGTTTTTGAGCTCCAGGGTTTTTAATTTTTTTCTGATTTTTTTGAAAAGGTCTTTTTATTAACAAGTCTAATGCCTATTTGGAGTTTATTTTCTTATAAAAATGTAAGCATTAACTTCATTTTGGTTGTTGTTACTGGTTAACTGGTTGTCCCAACATGGTTAACTGAACAAGTTCTCTTCTCTAGCAGTTTCAAATGCTAGTAAACGGTATATAATTTTAATTTTTATTACTTTATAATATATTTTAATATATTAGTTTTTCAATTCAGTAATAGTCTAACTTTTTTTTGCAGGACTTTTCTGACAATTTTTTCATGTTAATTATGCATGTGATGAACTTTAGAAACAGCTTGACTACTTCTTGAAGTTATATATTCATATATTATTGTAATCAGATTAAATTTTTAAACTAATTTTAATTTTAAAATCAAATTTATTCATATGCGCTATGTTAATACATACAATTGAAGAAAAAATTATGCATCATTAAATACCACACATATCCACGCAGTCAGTCCCTGTTACTGTGTGTGGTCCCCATTGGCTGGAGTCGGACAGCACAATCTAAGCTGATCCCGATTGGCTACTTCAAATGGAGCAGGGGTCTGGGCTACAGCAGTTGCAGGAAGAGCAGTTTCCGAACTAAGGGTGCCAAATAAGGAACAGATGTGGGTTGTTACAGATTGGGAATGGATGTGGGTTACAGATTGAGAACAGATGTGTGTTACAGATTGGGAACGGCTGGAAGGTTGTTTACCGTAACTAGGGGCAAGGAGGCAAGGAAGTTAGGCATTGAAAACAGAGAGCAAAGAAAGAGGGAGTTGAACAAGCGGAACCTTTGAAGAGAAACTCACTGTATCCAACAATTTCCCCCTCTTTCTTTTTATAATTCTTCCTGTTCAAACTTTTTAGCATGTTTTGACTCTGCTGTTCTGCTTGGTTTTCTTAAAGTGGGAGCTTATCTGAATCAGACGGGGGAGAATTAAAGGTTTTGGTGAGAGCTGTTTTTATAGTCTCTGCACTAATCCATGAAGACAAGGTATAATGCAGCATCCTGCAAGAATAACCTGTAACAACTGCAAGAGGTAAGGCTTAAGGTCTTTTTAATTGTTCCATCAGGGGCTGTGTTATTAGGGATGGAATAAGGACAGACTGGTTGGTAAGCTCTTGGAAGGGCTTAAGCTCCCTGCATCCCGTTAGGTCTCCAGCGAAGGCTAAATTTTCCCCCTGCCGTGAGAAACATGAGGTAAAATTGGCATCAGGAGACGGAGGCTGGATGGCCCTCGGGGGCTGACCTGCAGGGTGTCAGACTTCAGGGAATAGCAGAGAGAGAGAGAGAGCTGAGTAGAATTCATTACCCCAGGCTGTGGGGTCTTGGAAGAGAGCTACCATACAGCTCATGCCGGGTCGGCTGGAAGACCATCCGACTGGTCATTGGGTATGGAAGGGATAAAGGAGATTTAAGAGGGTTCAATTTTTCTTAGCTTTAGTTTGGTAGGACTCTCCCCCAGAACAATGGTCCATGGCTCTGGAGGTGGTGATGCCTTCTTGACTCGGGTATGATAAGTCCATCCTCTTTATGCTGAGGTCTCGGTGGTTAGAAGCACTAGGTAGGGTCCTTCCCAAGCCGGTTTGAGTTTTCCTTCTTTGCGACTTTTGATGAGGATGTTATCCCCAGGCTGATGCTGGTATGCTGGGAACTCTAGGGGTAGTGTCTGTGCTAAAAGACCTTTAGTTCTGAGGGAAGAGAAAGTGGTAGACCAAGTATGAATGTCAGCAGTGGATTGTAAATAGGGCAACCCATATAGCATCTCATAAGGAGCTATACCAACATATTTCTGAGGGGCAGTTTGGATTCTTAACAAGGCAATGGGAAGGCATTTGGTCCATGGCAACCGTGTGTCTAAGACTAATTTGGTCAAGTGGCTCTTCAAAGTTTGGTTCATTTTCTCCACTCTTCCTGATGAAGGTGGGTGCCAGGGAGTATGGTATTCCCATGTTATGTCTAGTGTTTGGGTTAATTTCTTAATGACATGCACAGTGAAATGAGTCCCATTATCTGAATCAATATTTTCTATTCGTCCAAATTTTTCCAAAGGTGTGAGCTACCCCGAAGGCATACTTGGAATCAGTATAAATAGCCCCTTTCTGGTTTTGCAAGTGTTTCAACGCCTGATTTAATGCAAATGATTCACAAGTTTGGGCAGACCAATTATTAGGCAATCTTCCTGACTCTATTTCTGAGAGAGCTTCCCCATAAACTACTGAATAACCTTTGTGTTTTTTCCCTTCAATTACCTGGGAAAAGCCATCTGAAATAAGTGCTGCCCTGTTTTGAAAGGGGTCTGTATTAAATCGGACCTTACTTTTGTGTGATAATCAATTAAATCTAAACACTGATGCTCAGGTCCTTTTAGATTTGGATTCCCTGTTAGGAAACCTGCTGGGTTAAGTGAATTATCAGTGGTTAGGGTTAAATCATCCCTTTCTAATAGGATAGCTTCATACTTTAAAATCCTTGAGCCACTGATACTTTTAAATCAGTGAGCCATCTTCCTGCTTTCTGGTTTAAAATAGTTCTAACTTGATGGGATGTGCTTACAACCAAATTTCCCCAAAGGTTAGCTGTCTGCTTTCTTCAGTTAACAAGGTGGTGGCTGCAATAGATGGACCACATTCGGGCCATCCACAGGTTATGGGGTCTAAAACCTTTGATAGGAAGGCTACAGGTTGCCGGTGGCCCCCATGTTCTTGGGTAAGTACCCCTAAAGTTACCCCCTTGTTTACATTATCTTGTCCCCCAGTCTGGAGTGCAATGGTGTGATCTTGGCTCACTGCAACCCCCACCTCCTGGGTTCAAGCAATTCTACTGTCTCAGCCTCCCTAGTAGCTGGGATTACAGGTGTGTACCACCATGCCCAGCTAATGTTTTGTATTATTTAAGTAGAGATGGGGTTTCACCATGTTGGCCAGGCTGGTTTCAAACTCCTGACCTCAGTTGATCCACCTGCCTTGGCCTCCTAAAGTGTTGGGATTACAGGCGTGAGTCACCATGCCCAGCCGACTGTGGGTCTTATTCTTAAAAATAAAATACATATATTATTTAGATTTATTTTATTTTATTTTTTTATTATTATACTTTATAGAGTTAATCTTTATATTAGTCCATGTGTCAATGGAGAGAGATTTGTGGTTTTTAAGTATATCATGTTTTAGTCAAAACATGTTATTTATCTACATATTAAATTTCTATAATATTTCTTTTTTTTAACCATGCACTCTTTCATTAATGAAAAATCATCTACCTGATTTGTACCCACTAGCAAGCTAACATCCATGCTTCTTTTTTTTAATTTTAATTTTAATTTTTCTTTTTAATTTAATTTATTTTATTTTATTATTATTATACTTTAAGATTTAGGGTACATGTGCACAATGTGCAGGTCAGTTACATATGTATACATGTGCCATGCTGGTGTGCTGCACCCATTAACTAGTCATTCAGCATTAGGTACATCTCCTAATGCTATCCCTCCCCCCTCCCCCCACCCCACAACAGTCCCCAGAGTGTGATGATCCCCTTCCTGTATCCATGTGTTCTCAATGTTCAATTTCCACCTATGAGTGAGAACATGCGGTGTTTGGTTTTTTGTCCTTGCGATAGTTTACTGAGAATGATGATTTCCAATTTCATCCATGTCCCTACAAAGGACATGAACTCATCATTTTGTATGGCTGCATAGTATTCCATGGTGTATATGTGCCACATTTTCTTAATCCAGTCTATCATTGTTGGACATTTGGGTTGGTTGCAAGTCTTTGCTATTGTGAATAGTGCCGCAATAAACATACGTGTGCATGTGTCTTTATAGCAGCATGATTTATAGTCCTTTGGGTGTATACCCAGTAATGGGATGGCTGGGTCAAATGGTATTTCTAGTTCTAGATACCTGAGGAATCGCCACACTGAGTTCCACAATGGTTGAACTAATTTTCACTCCCACCAACAGTGTAAAAGCATTCCTATTTCTCCACATCCTCTCCAGCACCTGTTGTTTCCTGACTTTTTAATGATTGCCATTCTAACTGGTGTGAGATGGTATCTCATTGTGGTTTTGATTTGCATTTCTCTGATGGCCAGTGATGATGAGCATTTTTTCATGTGTCTTTTGGCTGCATAAATGTCTTCTTTTGAGAAGTGTCTGTTCATGTCCTTCACCCACTTTTTGATGGGGTTGTTTGTTTTTTTCTTGTAAGTTTGTTTGAGTTCATTGTAGATTCTGGATATTAGCCCTTTGTCAGATGAGTAGGTTGCAAAAATTTTCTCCCATTCTGTAGGTTGCCTGTTCACTCTGATGGTAGTTTCTTTTGCTGTGCAGAAGCTCTTTAGTTTAATTAGATCCCATTTGTCAATTTTGTCTTTTGTTGCCATTGCTTTTGGTGTTTTAGACATGAAGTCTTGCCCATGCCTATGTCCTGAATGGTAATGCCTAGGTTTTCTTCTAGGGTTTTTATGCGTGTAGGTCTAACATTTAAGTCTTTAATCCATCTTGAATTAATGTTTGTGTAAGGTGTAAGGAAGGGATCCAGCTTCAGCTTTCTACATATGGCTAGCCAGTTTTCCTAGCACCATTTATTAAATAGGGAATCCTTTCCCCATTGCTTGTTTTTCTCAGGTTTGTCAAAGATCAGATAGTTGTAGATATGGGGCGTTATTTCTGAGGGCTCTGTTCTGTTCCATTGATCTATATCTCTGTTTTGGTACCAGTACCATGCTGTTTTGGTTACTGTAGCCTTGTAGTATAGTTTGAAGTCAGGTAGCGTGATGCCTCCAGCTTTGTTCTTTTGGCTTAGGATTGACTTGGCGAAGCGGGCTCTTTTCTGGTTCCATATGAACTTTAAAGTAGTTTTTTCCAATTCTGTGAAGAAAGTCATTGGTACCTTGATGGGTTTGGCATTGAATCTATAAATTACCTTGGGCAGTATGGCCATTTTCACGATATTGATTCTTCCTACCCATGAGCAAGGAATGTTCTTCAATTTGTTTGTATCCTCTTTTATTTCATTGAGCAGTGGTTTGTAGTTCTCCTTGAAGAGGTCCTTCACATCCCTTGTAAGTTGGATTCCTAGGTATTTTATTCTCTTTGAAGCAATTGTGAATGGGAGTCCACTCATGATTTGGCTCTCTGTTTGTCTGTTATTGGTGTATAAGAATGCTTGTGATTTTTGTACATTGATTTTGTATCCTGAGACTTTGCTGAAGTTGCTTATCAGCTTAAGGAGATTTTGGGCTGAGACAATGGGGTTTTCTAGATATACAATCATGTCATCTGCAAACAGGGACAATTTGACTTCCTCTTTTCCTAATTGAATACCCTTTATTTCCTTGTCCTGCCTGATTGCCCTGGCCAGAACTTCCAACACTATGTTGAATAGGAGTGGTGAGAGAGGGCATCCCTGTCTTGTGCCAGTTTTCAAAGGGAATGCTTCCAGTTTTTGCCCATTCAGTATGATATTGGCTGTGGGTTTGTCATAGATAGCTCTTATGATTTTGAGATAAGTCCCATCAATACCTAATTTATTGAGAATTTTTAGCATGAAGGGTTGTTAACTTTTGTCAAAGGCCTTTTCTGCATCTACTGAGATAATCATGTGGTTTTTGTCTTTGGTTCTGTTTATATGCTGGATTACATTTATTGATTTGCGTATATTGAAGCAGCCTTGCATCCCAGGGATGAAGCCCACTCGATCATGGTGGATAAGCTTTTTGATGTGCTGCTGGATTCAGTTTGCCAGTATTTTATTGAGGATTTTTGCATCAATGTTCATCAAGGATATTGGTCTAAAATTCTCTTTTTTGGTTGTGTCTCTGCCTGGCTTTGGTATCAGGATGATGCTGGCCTCATAAAATGAGTTAGGGAGGATTCCCTCCTTTTCTATTGATTGGAATAGTTTCAGAAGGAATGGTACCAGTTCCTCCTTGTACCTCTGGTAGAATTCGGCTGTGAATCAATCTGGTCCTGGACTCTTTTTGGTTGGTAAGCTATTGATTATTGCCACAATTTCAGAGCCTGTTATTGGTCTATTCAGAGATTCAACTTCTTCCTGGTTTAGTCTTGGGAGGGTGTATGTGTCGAGGAATTTATCCATTTCTTCTAGATTTTCTAGTTTATTTGCGTAGAGGTGTTTGTAGTACTCTCTGATGGTAGTTTGTATTTCTGTGGGATCGGTGGTGATGTCCCCTTTGTCATTTTTTTATTGCATCTATTTGATTCTTCTCTCTTTTTTTTTATTAGTCATGCTAGCAGTCTATCAATTTTGTTGATCCTTTCAAAAAACCAGCTCCTGGATTCGTTAATTTTTTGAAGGGTTTTTTGTGTCTCTATTTCCTTCAGTTGTGCTCTGGTTTTAGTTATTTCTTGCCTTCTGCTAGCTTTTGAATGTGTTTGCTCTTGCTTTTCTAGTTCTTTTAATTGTGATGTTAGGGTGTCAATTTTGGATCTTTCCTGCTTTCTCTTGTGGGCATTTAGTGCTATAAATTTCCCTCTACACACTGCTTTGAATGTGTCCCAGAGATTCTGGTATGTTGTGTCTTTGTTCTCGTTGGTTTCAAAGAACATCTTTATTTCTGCCTTCATTTCATTATGTACCCAGTAGTCATTCAGGAGCAGGTTGTTCAGTTTCCATGTAGTTGAGCAGTTTTGAGTGAGTTTCTTAACCCCAAGTTCTAGTTTGATTGCACTGTGGTCTGAGAGACAGTTTGTTATAATTTCTGTTCTTTTACATTTGCTGAGGAGAGCTTTACTTCCAACTATGTGGTCAATTTTGGAATAGGTGTGTTGTGGTGCTGAAAAAGTGTATATTCTGTTGATTTGGGGTGGAGAGTTCTGTAGATGTCTATTAGGTCCGCTTGGTGCAGAGCTGAGTTCAATTGCTGGGTATCCTTGTTGATTTTCTGTCTCGTTGATCTGTCTAATGTTGACAGTGGGGTGTTAAAGTCTCCCATTATTATTGTGTGGGAGTCTAAGTCTCTTTGTAGGTCACTCAGGACTTGCTTTATGAATCTGGGTGGTCCTGTATTGGGTGCTCGTGCATGGTGCGCTGCACCTACTGTCCTGCACTCCCTAGTGAGATGAACCTGGTACCTCAGAGGGAAATGCAGAAATCACCCGTCTTCTGCGTCGCTCGTGCTGGGAGCTGTAGACCGGAGCTGTTCCTATTCGGCCATCTTGGCTGCCACCCAATCGATTGCCCTAATTTTTAATGGATAAAAAGGATGCTCAGAAGAAAAACTTAGCTCCATAATTTTATAAGTGAGACAGTGCTGAAATAACATATTTCTTTATGATTCTATAATTCTTAACCTTTGAGTTTCCTACTTCTAGTCATGCTGTATTGATCACTCAACTACAGAATTTACCACAATCACATGCTTTATAAGGTACCAAGTAAAGTTTTGCCAAATTAATGAACTGGTTTTGTGGTGCTAGGGAAAAAACATATTCATCATGGCATGGGAGAATCAGACCTTCAACTCCGGCTTCATCCTCCTGGGAATCTTCAATCACAGCCCCACCCGCACCTTCCTCTTCTTTCTGGTCCTGTGCATCTTTTAGGTGGCCTTCATGGGAAACTCCCTCATGGTTCTCCTAATCTACCTGGATACCCAGCTCCATACCCCCATGTACTTCCTCCTCAGTCAACTGTCCCCCATGGACGTCAGGCTCATCTGCACCACCGTACCCAAGATGGCCTTCAACTACTTGTCTGGCAGCAAGTCCATTTCTATGGCTGGCTGTGCCACACAAATTTTCTTCTGTGTATCACTGCTTGGCTCTGAATGCTTTCTGTTGGCTGTTATGTCTTATGACTGCTACATTGCCATTTGCCACCCTCTAAGATACACCAATCTCATGAGACCCAAAATTTGTAGACTTATGACTGCCTTCTCCTGGATCCTGGGCTCTACAGATGGAATCATTTATGCTGTAGCCACATTTTCCTTCTCCTACTGTGGGTCTCGGGAAATAGCCCACTTCTTCTGTGAGTTACCTTCCCTACTAATCCTCTCATGCAATGACACATCAATATTTGAAAAGGTTATTTTCATTTGCTCTATAGTAATGCTTGTTTTCCCTGTTGCAATCATCATTGCTTCCTATGCTGGAGTTATTCTGGCTGTCATTCACATGGGATCTGGAGAGGGTCGTCGCAAAGCTTTCACGACCTGTTCCTCTCACCTCATGGTGGTGGGAATGTTCTATGGAGCAGGTTTGTTCATGTACATACAGCCCACATCTGATCGCTCCCCAACGCAGGACAAGCTGGTGTCTGTATTCTACACCATCCTCACTCCCATGCTGAATCCCCTCATCTACAGCCTCCGCAACAAGGAAGTGACCAGAGCATTCATGAAGATCTCAGGAAAGGGCAAGTCTGGAGAGAGAGTTACCTCATAAACTTTATGTTTTGATGTCTGCTAAATTATTCTTTCTAATATCCTTCTTTTTCTATAAAGTCCTAAAAATATCATTGATTGTGTGCATTGTTCAACATATTTATGGGCAGGTATATAATTTATTTCAGATAAACTATTTTAGATATGTTTATATTCAATTCAGTTGTGACTACAATATAAGGCATTGTAAATAAAGACATTAAATATTTTTTTAATTTTTAAATTATCTTTTTGGGAAACAAGTAGTGTTTGATTACATTAATAAGTTCTTTAGTGGTGATTTCTGAGATGTCGGTGCAGCCATCAACCAAGTAGTGTTCACTGTACCCAATATATAGTCTTTTTCCCTCTCCAGTCCCCAATATTTACTCCAAGTCCCCAAAGTCCAGTGTATCATTCTTATGCCTGGATGTCTCATAACTTAGCTGGCACATGTGAGTGAGAACGTATGATGTTTGGTTTTCCATTCCTGAGTGACTTCACTTTGTATGATAGTCTCCAATTCCAACCAGGTTGCTGCAAATGCTATTAATTCATTCCTTTTTATGGCTGAGTAGTATTCCATGGTGTGTGTATATATATATATATATATATATATACCAACTTTTATTTATCCACTCATTGAGTGATGGGCATTTAGGCTGCTTCCACATTGCTGCAATTGCAAATTGTGTTGCTATAAACATGCAACATGTAAGTATCTTTTTCATATAATGACTTCTTTTCTTCTGAGTACTAACCTTGTAGTGGTATTGCTGGATCAAATGGTGAATCTACTTTTAGTTGTTTAAGGAATCTTCACACTGTTTTGCCTAGTCTTGTAACAGTTCACATTCCCATCAACTGTGTAAAAGGGTTTCCTTTTCTCCACATCCATGCCAACATCTATTATTGTTTGATTTTCTGATTATGGCCATTCTTGCAAGAGTGAAGTTGTATTGCACTGTGGTTTTGATTTGCATTTCTCTGATAATTAGTGATGTTCAGCATTTTTTCATATGCTTATTGGCCATTTGTATATCCTGTTGAGAATTGTCTATTCAAGTCCCTTAGCCCAATCCCAGTTTGATGGGATTGTTTATTTTCTTCTTGCTGATTTGTTTGAGTTCTTTTTAGATTCTGGATATTATTCGATTGTCAGATGCATAGACTGTGAAGATTTTTCTCCCATTCTCTGGTTTGTCTCTTAACTCTGTTGATTATTTCTTTTGCTGTGCAGAAGTTTTTTAGTTTAATTTAGTCTTATTTTTTATCCCATTTTTTTTTTTGCATTTTCTTTTGGGTTCTTGGTCATGAAGTCTTTGCCTAAGCCAATGTCTAGAAGGGTGTTGCCAATGTTATCTTGTAGAATCTTTATGGTTTCAGGTTTTAGATGTAAGGCTTTGATCCACCTTGAGTTTATTTTTGTATAAGGTGAGAGATGAGGATTCAGTTTCATTCTCCTACATGTGGCTTGCCAATTATTCCAGCACCATTTGTTGAATAGGTTGTCCTTTCTCCAGTTTATGTTTTTGTTTGCTGTGTGGAAAGCCAGTTAGCTGTAAACGTTTGGCATTATTTCTGGGTTCTCTATTCTGTTCCATTAGTCTATGTGCCGATTTTTATACCACTACCCTGCTTTCATGATTATGGCTTTATAGCACAGTCTGAAGTTGGGCAATGTGATATTTCCAGATTTGTTATTTTTTAGTTTTGCTTTGGTTATGAAGGCTCCATTTTGATTCCATATGAATTTTATGACTTTTTTTCTAGTTTTGTGAAGAATGATGGTGGCATTTTGATGGGAATTGTATTGAATTTGTAGATTGCCTTTGGCAGTATGGTCAAATACTGAATAGGAGTGGTGAGAGTGGACATGGACATCCTTGTCTTATTCCGTTTCTTAGGGGAAATGCTTTCAGCTTTTCCCCATTCAGATTATTATTGGCTGTGGATTTGTCACAATTGGCTTTGCTTATCTTATGGTATGTCCCTTCTACACCGATTTTGCTGAGGATTTTAATCGTAAAGGCATGCTGGATTTTGTCAAATGCTTTTTCTTGTCTATCATGATGATAATGTGATTTTCCTGTTTAATTCTGTTTATGTGGGATATATCATATTCATTGACTTACGTATGTTAAACCATCCCTGCATCCCCAGTATAAAACCCACTTGTACGTGGTGGATTATCTTTTTGATATGCTGTTGAATTTGGTTTGCTAGTATTTTTTTGATGAATTTTTCATCAGTGTTCATTGGGGATATTGGTCTGTAGTTTTATTTTTGTTATGTCCTTGTCTGCTTTTGGTATTAGGGTGATAGTGGCTTCATAGAATGATTTAGGGAAAATTCCCTCTTTATCTTTTGGAATAGGGTTAATAGGATTGGCACTAATTCTTCTTTGAATGTCTGATAGAATTCAACTGTGAACCTGTCTGGTCCTGGCCTTTTTGGTGTTGACATTTTTTTTATTACCATTTCAATCTCGCTGCTTATTTTTGGTCTGTTCAGAGATTTTATAACTTCCTCATTTAATCTTGGAGTTTTATACATTTCCAGAAATTTATCCATCTTCTCTAGGTCTTTTAGTTTATGTGCATAAAAGTGTTCATAGTAGCCTTGAGTAATTTTTTTGTGTTTCTGTGGTACCAGTTTTTTTTATCGCCTGTTTCCTTCCTTCCTTCCTTCCTTCCTTCCTTCCTTCCTTCCTTCCTTCCTTCCTTCCTTCCTTCCTTTCTTTTCTCTTTCTTTCAACAGAATCTTGTTTTGTTGCCCAGGCTGGAGTGCAGTGGTGCAATCTGGGCTCACTGCAACCTGCGCCTCCTGGGTTCAAGAGATTCTCCTGCCTCAGCCTTCTGAGTAGCTGGGATTACAGGCACATCCCACCATGCCTGGCTAATTTTCATATTTTTGGTAGAGACGGGGTTTGACCATGTTGGTCACGCTGGTCTCGAACTCCTGACCTCGTGATCTCCCTGCCTCGGCCTCCCAAAGTGCAAGGATTACAGGCATGAGCCACCACGTCTGGCACCTGTTTCATTTCTAGTTGAGCTTATTTAAATCTTTTCTTGGGTAATCTCACTAATTGTCTGTCTATTTTATTTATCTTCTCAAAGAATCAGCTTCTTGTTTCATTTATCTTTTGTATTTTTTTGTTTCAATTTCATTTAGTTCTCCTCTGATCTTCGTTATTTCTTCTCTTCATCAAGGCTTGGGTTTGGATTGTTTTTGTTTATCCAGTTCAGTGAGGTATGACCTTAGATTGTCTATTTGTGTTCTTTCAGACTTTTTGATATAGGCATTTAATGTTATGAACTTTCCTCTTAGTACTGCTTTTGCTGTATCCCAGTGGTTTTGATAGGCTGTGTCACTATTTTCATTCAGTTTAAATAATTCTTTTTTAGTTTCCCTCTTGATTTTATTGTTTACTCAATGATCTTTCAGGTGCAGATTGTTGAAATTCCATGTATTTGCCTGGTTTTGAGTGTTCCTTTGGAGTTGATTTCCGATTTTATTCCACTGTGGTCTCAGAGAGTACTGGATATAATTTTGATTTTCTTAAATATACTGAGGCTTGTTTTGTGGCCTATCATATGGCCTATCTTAGAGAATGTTCCATATGCTGATGAATAGAATGTATATTCTGCAGTTGTTGGGTAGAATGTTCTGTAAATATCTGTTAAGTCCATTTGTTGTAGCGTATAGTTTAATTTCATTGTTTCTTAGTTGACTTTCTGTTTGGATGATATGTCTAGTGTTCTCCGTTGAGTATTAAAGTATCCCAGTATTTTTGTATTGTTGCCTATCTGATTTCTTAGGACTGGTAATAATTTTTTTATATATTTGGGAGTTTCACAATTAGGTAGATATATATTTACAATTATGATATTTTCCTGTTGTACTAGTCCTTTTATCATTATATACTGTTGCTCTTTGTCTTTTTTTTTATCTGCTGATGCTTTAAAGTTTGTTTTTTTTCTGATATGATAGTAGGTACTCCTGTGCACCTTTGGTTTACATTTGCATGGAATATCTTCTTCCACCCCTTTATATTAAGTTTATGTAAGTCCTTATGTGTTAGGTGAATCTCATGAAGATGGGGATGCTTGGTTGTCAAATTCTTATCTATTCTGTCATTCTGTATCTTTTAAGTGGAACATTTAGGCCACTAACATTAATGATAGTATTGAGATGTGAAGTACTATTCTATCTGTTGTGCTCTTTGTTGGTTTCATTTTCATTCTGTTATTGTTATGTATGTCATGTGATATTTATGCTTTAGGGCGGTTCTGTTTTGGTGTAATCCAAGAATTTGTTTCAAGTTTAGAACTCCTTATAGCAGTTCTTATAGTGCTGGGTTGGTAATGGTGAATTCTCCCAGCATTTGTTTGTCTGGAAATGACTGTATCTTTACTTCCTTTAAGAAGATTAGTTTCACTGAATAGAAAATTCTTGGCTGATAATTGTTTTGTTCAAAGGGGCTGAAAATAAGACCCCAATTCCTTCTATCTTATAAAGTTTCTGGTGAGAAATCTGCTGTTAATCTGGCAGGTTTTTCTTTATAAGTTACCTGATGCTTTTGTGTCATAGCTCTTACGATTCTTTCCTTCATCTTGACTTTAGATAACCTGTTGTTATGTGCCCTAGGGGCACCTTTTCAAGTATTCATATTTCTCAGCTGGTGGGCATGGCCTTAGAGCACCCAAGAGATTATTACCTTTGTCTTCGGCCCCCAAGGTGGGTAGAGAAGGTCCACCAGGTGTGGGCTAAGATAAGCTTGTCTGAGCTCAGCCTCTCCTTGGGTGGAGCTTGCTGTGCTGCTGCTGTGAGGTCAATGGGGGTGTAGTTTCCAGTCCAATGGAGTTATATTCCCAGGGGGATTATGGCTACCTCTGCTGCAACAAACAGGTCACCAGGAAAGTGAGAGAAAGCCAGCGGTTACAGGCCTCACCCAGCTCCCACACAGCCAGGAGTCCTAAAGGCCAGTCATACTTTCAGCGTGCCTCCGCAACAGCACAGAGTCTGTTTCCAGGAAGCTGGTGACCAGGGCTGAGAACTTGTTCCAGAACACGAGCCTCTCTGTTGAGAAAGCAAGCAGACTCACAGGTTTTCTGTGTCTCAGGGAGCCTACAGCAGGAATCCAGTTCCTTCAAAGGGTCTGTGGATTCTCTCAGCTTTCCCGGTATGTTTCTGCAGTAGTTCTTGGAGCAAAAGTTCACAATGTTTGAGTTTCCAGATGCTACTCTGTCCATTTGAGTGGGAGCTGCAAGCTAGTCCTGCCTCTTATCCACCATCTTAATTCTTATCAGCACATTAAAGTTTTATGCATTTTCAGTATCATAAAATTTGTGCTATGCATCCAGGTAGCATACACTTCTTCTTTTCCCAATGTATAAACTCAAAATTTTATTGATCCTCTTGAAATCTGCTTTGGAATTAAAGTTAATATACTGGAAGAGGGGCCAAGATGGCCGAATAGAAACAGCTCCCAGTGAGGCCAATGCAGAAGATGGGTGATTTCTGTATTTCCAACTGAGGTCCCCAGTTCATCTCATTGGGACTGGCTAAGTAGTGGGTGTGACCCATAGAGAGTTAGCAGAAGCAGGGTGGGGCATCGTTTCATCCAGGAGGTGCAAAGAGCCAGGGGACCTCCCTCCCCTAGCCAAGCAAAGAGGTGAGGGACTGTGCTGCCAGCCTGGGGTACTACGCTCTTTCCGTGGATTTTTGCAATCCACAGAATAAGATATTTCCTTGTGAGCCTACACTGCCAGGGCCCTGGGTTTCGAACACAAAACGGGGTGGCTGTTGGAGCTGGTGCTGAGTTGCAGGAAATTTTTCAGACTCCAACGGCACCTAGAACTCCAGTGCAACAGGAGAACTGTCCACTCCCCTGGAAAGGGGGCTGAAGCCAGCGAGCCAAGTGGTCTTGGTCTCCGAATCCTACTCCCATTGAGCCCAGCAAGCTAAGAACCACTGGCTTGAAATTCCCACTGACAGCACCGCAGTCTGGAGTCGGCCTGGGACTATCGAGTTTGGTGTTGGTGTGGGTAGGGAAACGAGGAGGTCACCGTTACTGTGGCTTAGTAGGCGGTTTTACCCTGCTGGTGCTAAGGAGAATGGGAGGTTTGTACTGAGCAGAATTCACCACAGCACAGCAAATGAGCTGTGGACAGACTGCTTTTCTAGATTTCTCCTCACAGGGCAGGGCATCTCTGCAGGAAATCCAGAAGCTCCATTCAGGGGCTTACAGACAGAACTGTCATCGTCCTGGGACAGAGCACCTGGAGGGAGGACAGGCTGCAGTCACAGGTTCAGTGGACTTAATCTTTCCTGCCTGCCGGGTCTGAAGAGAGCAGCTGATTCTGACAAGGGGGTTCTCCCAGCACAGTGCTACAGCTCTGCTAAGGGACAGATGGCCTTCTCAAGCAGGTCCTGACCAGATGCCTCCTGACTGGGAGAGACCTCCCAATAGGGGTCGACAGACACCTCATACAGGAGAGCTCTGGCTGGCAACAAGCTGGTGCTCCTCTGGGACGAAGCTTTGAGGAAGCAGCAGGCAGCAACCTTTGCTGTTTTATGGCCTCCACTGGTGATACCCAGGCCAACAGGGCCTGGAATGGGCCCCCAGCAAACTATAGCAGACCTCCAGAAGTGGGGCCTGGCTTAGAAGAAAAACTAACAGAAAGCAACAACAATCAAAACATCAACAAAAATACCCACCCAAAAAACCGCTTCCAAAGATCATCAGCTTCAAAGATCAAAAGTAGGTAAATCCATGAAAATGAGCAAAAAACCAGTGCAAAACACTAAAATTTCCAGGAGACAGAATGTCTCTTCTCCTCCAAATGATTGCAGTACCTTTCCAGGAAGGGTGCAGAACTGGATGGAAAATGAGATGGATGAATTGACGAAGTAGTCTTCAGAAGGTGGGTAATAACAAACTCCGTTGAGCTAAAGGAGCATGTTCTAACCCAAAGTAAAGAAGCTAAGAACCTGGATAAAAAGTTACTGTAGCTGCTTACTAAAATAACCAGTTTAGAGAGGAACAAAAATGACAAGATGGAGCTGAAAAACACAGCATGAGAACTTCCTGAAGCACACACAGGTATCAATAGCTGAATTGATCAAACAGAAGAAAGGACATCAGAGAATGAAGATCAACTTACTGAAATAAGGCATGTAGACAAGATTAGATATCAAGCAGACAAAAGGATATCAGAGTTTGAAGGCCATCCTGCTGACATAAAGCATGCAGACAAGATTAGAGAAAAAAGAATAAAAAGAAGCAAACAAAACCTGTGAGAAATATGGGATAATGCATAAACACAAGACATTCAGAATGGCACCAAGTTGGAAAACACACTTCAGGATATCATCCGGGAGAACTTACCCCAACCTAGAAAGACAGGCCAACATTCAAATTCAGGAAATGCAGACAACACCACTGAGATATTTCATGAGTAGATCAACCCCAAGATGCATAATCAACAGATTCTCCAAGGTTGAAATGAAGGAAAAACTATTAAGGGCAGCCAGAGAGAAAGTTCAGGTCACCTACAAAGGGAAGCCCATTAGACTAACAGCAGATATCTCAGCAGAAACCCTACAAGCTAGAAGAGAGTGGGGCAACTATTCAACATACTTAAAGAAAAGAATTTTCAACCCAGAATTTCATACCCAGGCAAACTAAGCTTCATAAGTGAAGGAGAAAGAAAATGCTTTCCACACAAGGAAATGATAAGGAACTTCATCACCACCAGGCCTGCCTTTCAAGAGGTCCCAAAGGAACCACTAAATATGAAAAGGAAAATCTGGTACCAGCCACTGAAGTAACACAGCAAAATATGATGACCAATGATAGTATGAAGAAACTGCATCAACTAGTGTGCAAAATAACCAGCTAGCATCATGATGACGGGATCAAAATCACACATAACAATTTTAGCCTTAAATGTAAATGGGTGAAATCCCCAATTAAAAGACACAGACTGGCAAATTGGATAAAATATGAAGACCCATCAGTGTGCTATATTTAGGAGATCCATCTCATGCGCAAAGACACACAGAGGCTAAAATAAAGCGATAGAGGAGAGTTTACCAAGCAAATGGAAAGCAAAGGAAAGCAGAAGTTGCAATCCTACTCTCTGATAAAGCAGACTTTAAAGCAACAGAGGTCAAAAAAGTAAAACAAGGGCATTAAATGACGGTAAAGGGATCAATTCAACAAGAGAAACTAACTATTCTAAATACAGATGCACCAAATACAGTAGCATCCAGATTCATAAAGCCAGTTATAAGAGACCTACAAGGAAACTTAGACTCCCACACAATAATAGTGGGAGACTTTAACCCCCAACTGTCAATATGAAACAGACCAACAATACAGAAATTTAACACGGATATTCAGGATTTGAACTCTGCTCTGGATCAAGTGGACCTAACAGACGTCTACAGAACTCTCCACCCCAAATCAAAAGAATATACACTATTCTCAGTGCCACGTGGGGCTTATTCTAAAATCAACCATAATTGGAAGTGAAACACTCCTCTGCAAATGCAAAGGAATGGAAATTATAACAAACAAGGGCAACTGTTATAAGTGCCCTTGTCAATGCAATCAAATTAGAACTCAGGATTCAGAAGCTCACTCAAACCGCACAGTTTCATGGATATTGAACAACCCGCCCCTCCTTGACTCCTAGCTAAATAACAAAAGTAATGCAGAAATCAAGAAATTCTTTGTAACCAATGAGAACAAAGAGACAACTTGTCAGAATCACTGGGACATAGCTAAAGTATTGTTAAAAGGGAAATTTATAGCACGAAGTGCCAACATCAGAAAGCTGGAAAGATCTCAAATCAACACCCTGACATCAGAATTAAAAGAACTAGAGAAGAAAGAGCAAACAAATCCAAAAGTTAGCAAAAGACAAGAAATAACTAAGATCAGAGCAGAATTGAAGGAGATAGAGACACAAAAATCCCTTCAAAAAAATCAATGAATCCAGGAGCTAGTTTTTTTGAAAAAAATAACAAAATAGATAGACCACAGGCTAGACTATTGAAGAAAGGAGAGAAGAATCAAATAGACACAATAAAAAATGATAAAGAGGATATCACCAATGGCCCCACAGATATACAAATTACCATCAGAGAATACTATAAACACTTCTATGTAAATAAACTAGAAAACCTAGAAGCAATGGATAAATCCCTGGACACATACATTCTCCCAAGACTAAACCAGGAAGGAGTCAAATCCCTGATTAAACCAATAACAAGTTCTGAAATGGAGGCAGTAATTAATAGCCTACCAACAAAAAAAGCCCAGGACCAGATGTATTCACAGCCAAATTCTACCAGAAGTATAAAGAGAGGTTGGCACTATTTATTCTGAAACTATTCCAAATAATTGAAAATGAGGGGCTCCTCCCTAACTGATTTTATGAGGTCAGCATCATCTTGCTAACACAACATGGCAGAGACAAAACAAAAAAAAGAAAACTTCAAGCCAATATCTCAGATGAACATTGATGTCAAAATCCTCAATAAAATACTAGCAAACTAAATCCAGCAGCACATCAAAAAGCTTATACACCCCAATCGAGCTGGCTTCATCTCTGGGATGCAAGGCTGGTTCAATATATGCAAATCAATAAATGTAACCCATCATATAAACAGAGCCAAAGGCAAAAACCACATGATTCTTTCAATAGATGCAGAAAAGTCCTTTGATAAAATTCAACATTCCTTCATATTAAAAACTCTCAATAAACTAGGTATTGATGAAACATATCTCAAAATTATAAGTGCTATTTGTGACAAAGCCATAGGCAATATTATACTGAATCACAAAAGCTGTAAGCATTCCTGTTGAACACCGGCACAAGACAAGCATGCCCTCTCTCACCATTCCTATTCAATACAGTTTTGGAAGTTCTGGCTAGGGCAATCAGGCAATATATTTTTAAAAAGTATTCAAATAAAAAGAGAGGAAGTCAAATTGCCTTTTTGCAAGTGACATGATTCTATATTTAGACAACTCCATCATCTCAGCCCAAAAACAACTTAAGCTGACAAACAGCTTCAGTAAAATCTTAGGATACAAAATCAATGTGCAAAAATCACAAGCATTCCTATATACCAGCAATAGTCAAGCAGAGAGCCTGATCATGAATTAACTACCATTCTCAATTGCTACAAAGAGAATAAAATACCTAGGAATACAGCTAACAAGGGATGTGAAGGACCTCTCAAGGAGGACTACAAACCACGGCTCAAGGAAATAAGAGCGGACACAAAGAAATGGAAAAACATTCCATTCTTATGGATAGGAAGAATCAATATCATGTAAATGGCCATACTGCCCAAAGTAATTTATAGATTTAATGTTACTCCCTTCAAACTACATTGACATTCTTCACAGAATTAGAAAATACTTCTTTAAATTTTACATGGAATCAAAAAAGAGCCTGTATAGCTAAGAAAATCCTAAACAAAAAGAACAACCTAGAGGCATCATGCTACTTGACTTCAAACTACACTACAAGGCTACGGTAACCAAAACAGCATGGTGCTGGTACCAAAACAGACATATAGGCCAATAGAACAAAAGAGAAAATTCAGAAATAACACCGTATATCTACAGTCATCTAATTTTTGACAAATCTGACAAAAATAAGCAATGGGGAAATTATTCCCTTTTTAATAAATATTGCTGGGAAAACAGGCTAACCATATGCAGAAAACTGAAACTAGATCCCCCTCCTTACACATTATACAAAAATTAAGATAGATTGAAGACTTAAATATAAAACCCAAAAACATAAAATCACTAGAAGAAAACATAAGCAATACCATTCAGGACATAGTCATGGGAAAACACTTCATCACAAAAACACCAAAAGCAATTGCAACAAACCCAAAATTGACAAATCGGATCTAATTAAACTGAAGAGCTTCTGCACAGCCAAATAAACTAGCATCAGAGTGAAGAGGCAACCTACAGAATGGGAGAAAAATTTGCAGTCTACCCATCTCTCACAGTTCTAATATCCAGAATCTATAAGGAATATAAATGTACAAGTCAAAACCAAACAACTTCATCAAAAAGTGGGCAAAGCATATGAACAGACACTTCTCAAAAGAAGACATTTATGCAGGCAACAAACATATGAAAAAGAGCTCATCATCAGTGATTATTAGAGAAATGCAAATCACAACGAGACACCATCTCACGTCAGTCAGAATGGCGATTATTAAAAAGTCAAGAAATGTAATAAAGGAAGGTAACAACCCCATCTTTCAGGTTATAGGAAGAACCATAGGTCTAACTTCTGCTGTCATCTGACCCCACATTATAAAGCCTATTTAAAGTATGAAGTGGGTTATATTGAGTTAGCTATCAAAAAGAGTGAGATTTCATTCTATCTTTGCAAGCAGTTTGGTGAGTTGCCTGTGATGAATATTACATTCTCCTGTAATACTTACTCAATAATTAAATTGTTTTATTTTCTTCTAAATTTATGAAGAGGATTCTTGGGTTTTGAGGAGAGTTTGTTTTTAAGCATATTTCTCTAGCAAAGTACAAAAACTCAAGTTGCACAAGTAAATTTTATGGAGTACTAGGAGGTGAAAATGCTGTAAAAATAAAACAAGATAGGGAAATAAAATTCATTATGTTTTGAAATTTTAAATGGAGTTTTCTGAGAAAGCATGGTTGAGGGGTTGATAGTTGAACACTGCTCACATAGCATGAGATCGAGAGCAGGTAGAGCCCCTAGTCTTAACTCTATAGGAGAGGAGAGGATCAAGTGCAAATAGTAACCTGTGTGTGAGTTAAAGAAAAAAAAAGTCAGTGATGCATGTTGAAGCATAGTAAGGAAGGTTTTATTCAAAAACATTGTGAGACAATATACAGGAATAATTCAGGGTGGTTGCAGAACAATATAAAAATCTAGGAAGAAGTTTTGCATGACTAGCAAAATTCATGCAAAACTCAGTTATTGCTTGTGAAAAGTCAATTATTGCTTTGCTTGAGTTTATAAATTATTCACTAAAAACAGCCTCAGGAAAACAGGACATTCAACAGAGATAAAAGAAAATACATCAACCAGCAACCCTAAAAATGGGCCAACCAGTCCAATAACAACATCTTGAAGGTGTACACAAGGTCACAAAGCATTGACCAAGAAAGCAATAATTAGCTGCCTTTTTAAGACTGTACACATTTTACAATAATGTTTTTATTATTTCCCCTAATTTCTCTTAAAATCTCCTGAACCAGAGGCACAACTCAGAAAGGCAGTCTTTGAATGCCGTTTAATGGCTCCTCTAGGTTGTTCGCTTCTCAAATAAAGGTAACTTTTTTTTTAAACACCAAACCCTGTGTCTTCAGTTTGTGGCTTTCAGACTACAAGTGGTCCAGACCTAAGTTTGGCTAAAAGAGTAGTGTAAACCCAAAATAAATTCTAAGCCCCCAACTGACTGATGAATCTGCCTCTCAGCCAAGAACATTCCAAAGTAAACTTCAAATTGTTGTTCAGGCCATAATGGAAAGAGGGTGGAGGCTGAACATGCTTTATCCCTTATAAACTTCTCCCTTTGGAATTCAGGTACTACTGACCAACATCAACCATTAAAACAGATATACGTCTACAATAAAAACAGTAAAACATTGGTGCCATAAATTGACTATGATACACAAAAAAGTAAAAATATTCCTTGTTGATGGATTTTAAGAATCAATATTGTTAAAACGTCTATACTACACAAAGCAATTTACAGATTCAAACTAATCTCTATCAAAATACTAATAACATTCTTCAAAAAATAGAAAAAATTCTAAAATGCATATGGAATCCTAAAAGACCTAGAATACCCAAAGCAATCTTGAGCAAAAAGAAAAAAACTGGAGGAATCACATTGCCTGACTTAAAATTATACTAAGGAGCTATAGTAACAGAAACAGCATGATACTGACATTAAAAACAAACACATAGACTAATAGCATGGAAGAGAGAACCAGGAAGCAAATCCATACAGGGAAGTAATTTTTGACAAAGATACCAAGAACATATATTGGGAAAATATAGTCTGTTCAATAAAATGGTGCTGGGAAAACTGAATATCCTTATGAAGAAGAATGAAACTAGACACCTGTTTCTTGGCTTATACAAAAATCAAAATGTTTTAAAGCCTTTAATCTAAGACCTCAAACTATGAAACGACTAACAGCAAACATTGGGGAAACTCCCCAGGACATTGGACTGGGCAAAGATTTCTTGAGCAATTCTCTGGAGGCACAGCCAGTCAAAGCAAATGTGGATAAATGGAATCAAATTAAGTTAAAAAGCATCTGCAGCACAAAGAAAACAATCAACAAAGTAAAGAGACAATCCACAGAATGGGAGAAAATATTTTAAAACCACCCATCTAACAAGAAATTAGTAACCAGAATATATAAGGGGCTCAAACAACTCTATAGGAAAAAGTCTAATAATCCTTTTTTTTTTGTAGTTTACATTATGTAGTGATCTTTTTTATTCCTACTAGTTTTTGCTTTTTATTATTATTATACTTTAAGTTTTAGGGTACATGTGCACAACGTGCGGGTTTGTTACATATGTATACATGTGCCATGTTGATGTGCTGCACCCATTAACTCGTCATATAGCATTAGGTATATCTCCTAATGCTATCCCTCCCCCCTCCCCCCACCCCACAACAGTCCCTGGTGTGTCATCTATTTTTAAAATGGGCAAAAGACGGGAATAGACTTTCTCCAAAGAAGACACACAAATGGCAAACTGGTATATCAACAGTAAAAAATACTATACTTAAAAAGTTAAAAATATTATAGAATTTTCCTATGATCCAACAATTTCACTTCTGGGTACATACTCCAAAAATCTGTAAGGAGGCTCCAGTCCTCAGGGGGCTCCAGGCCTCAGGTGGCTCCAGTCCTCAGGGGGCTCCAGTCCTCAGGGGGCTCCAGGCCTCAGGCGGCTCCAGCCCTCAGTGGGGCGCTGCACAACCCGCGATCCGCGTGGCTCCATCTGAGTCCCTGGTTAGGCTCCCTTGGTCCCTGCGTTCCCTCGCCTCCCTCGCCTGTCCTCTTCCTCAGTCCCACCCAGCACGGCACCAAGGTGAGAGGAGCCCCGCTGGAAAGGAAGCATGTGGACTCCGGGTTCAGCACCTCCTCCAGAAGCACAGGACGTGCGACCTTCAGCCTTTGCGCCCACCTCCGCGCCACCAGCCCAGCAGTAGCTGGGAACGGAGCTGTCCCCCTCCAGTCTCCTCCCGCCTCAGCACCGAGCAAATTCTGTGCAGCTAAGAGAATAAACGCATGCGGAAGAGAAGGCGTTTTCAGAAACTAGTTTCCAAACAACAGATCCAGCTTGTACTTCCGATGCACGGTCGCAGGCCTTTCTCCTCAAAGGACTTCATCTATAACATCCTCACCATTAAATAAAGACAGGTCTTGTCTACTCTAGGGCAGGATGGGTAGGTCTGTGAACGTTTTCTGAAAGAATGTGATGAGAAAATTCGAGAAGAGCGTGAAGAAATCAAACACAAAACTGGCAGAACAGGATGAGGCATTTGTGAAGTTCACGCTTGGGGAAATAATGTGACGCTCTGGCGCTGGCTCTTACGTTTCATGACTCACACATTCTGCATTTGCCGCTGCCTTATTCCTTGCTGACTTATTGCAAAGGGTCCCAATTTTGTCCTGACACAATGCCAGGATCCCTCGGTGAATACAGGTTTTTGCAAGCTTTTGACAATGGCAACCACTCTCAGGCCCTAGCAACTGGTTTGGGACATTTCCCCGATCTCAGCACCACTTAATGTGGACCTTTGCTACCTATATTAATACAGTTTTGGCTCCTTATTTTAATATGTTTGAAAAGGATTAAAGGGGGATATTCTAAAACATATCCTTCGCTGGTTGTGTAAATGAAACTAGAATGACAATGCAGAGGAAGTTAGTGTGATTTTAATTGTGTGGTACAACCAGTACATAACCAGTTATTAAAAATTGAGAAAGTAATCCCAGGACAATCTGAAGCAAATAGCCACAGCACTTCTTGAGAAATAGTGAAGGGGGAAGCCATTCCTGTATTCCAGGAGTTCTTGGGCATTCAGAATGGGTTTGTGATTTTTTTAAGTGTTTTATTTTTTCTATCAGTCTTTTAAACACATGTTTATTACGGCATTTTTTCCAGTATATTATTGTTTTACCTCTTTGGTAGTACTGGAATTTAGTTTAAAGAATAGAACATTTACTCCCTCGAAAAAAGAAAGAAACAAGTGAGGGTATTTAACAAAAAATGCAGGTTTTATTATGTCTAGAGGCAAAGAACAAAGAACATACATTCAGGTTATGTGCACACAGACTTCTACTAATTTCTAATATTTTATTTATTATTTTATTTTTATATTTTAAATGTTATTTTTGAGATGGAGTCTTGCACAGTCACCCAGGCTGGAATGCCATGGCATGATCTCAGCTCACTGCAACCTCCACTTCTCAAGTTGAAGTGATTCTCCTGCCTTAACCTCCTGAGCAGCTGGGATTACAGGTCTGTGCCACCACGCTGGCAAAGTTTTGTGTTTTGAGTTTAGAAAGAGTTTCACCATTTTGGTCAGGCTAGTCTCAAACTCCTAAACTGAAGTGATCCATCAGCCTCAGCCTCCCAAAGTCCTAAGATTACAGGCATGAGGATCCGTACATGGCCTGTAATATTTTATTTTAAGCTGGTGATGGGTACATTGGTGTTTTGTTTTATACATTATCTTCCACTGAAATATTTATGAAGATACAAAATAACTATCGTTGTAATTGAGGCTATGAACAATTTAAGGAAAACAATACAATTATCAGTAAAAGCAGGATATCATTCAATACAATTCAGTGAACATTTATTGAACAAAGCATTGGTAAAAGAGATAAAATGGGATTTTGCTAATGTGCTGAATCTATCTACCTAAGCCTCAGACAAACACTATATCTAATGGAGAACCATAATTGCTAAAGGCTTAAGGTACTCATTAATATTATTCTTCAACATTTTAACAATATACATTTTAATCAATGAAGTAAGGAAAAATAGATTAATTTGGAAAGCGATCTAAAGTTGTTCAGCCGTTGTATACAGGCATTTTTCTATGCAATAAGAAATACAAAAATAAAAATAGCATTCTTGGATTCAAGGCCTATAAGCAACAATTAATAGATTTCTATATATTAACTAAAAGAAATAGAAGAAATAATACACACAATATTCCATACGCTAGAGCAACAAAAAAGAAAATTCCCATGAACATTTTATTTTATAATAATAACTTTTACAGAAAATATATACAGTAGTTTTAAGGGATAGAAAGCATATTAAGGAACATACATATAGAATTAGAATTATGTAGGGAACCTCAAGATGTTAAAAGTGCCAGTTCTACCCAAGCATATCTTGCTTTGATGATGGAGCAGAAGGAACAGTGAAGAGAAACCATAGAAGAGGAAGGATATTAGCCCTGAACGCCCTGACTGCCATTCTCTAGCTCTGCGACTGAAGTCAATTTACTTAAGCTTCTGCCCTCAGTTTCACATGTAAAAAAAATGACAGTATAATTAAAGATATTATATTATAATATATACATGTGTCTAATAGGGGTATCTGGCATACACAATGGTTGTAGGTATTATGTGAGTTTACAGTTTTGTTTTGTTTTTTTTTAACCACAGTGCCAGTTATACAGAAAGCACTTGGTGTGTTTCACCTCATCATGTGAGAGAGAGGGAGAAGTTTCAGAAAGTTTCCACTGATCTACAGGGAAGGGGGCATAATTATCTTTGTAGTATTTTCAAGAAAAGGAAGCTAATTTGGCTTCATGTCCTAAGAGAGGAGATAGAAGGAAATACAAACTTTGATAAAGACAAGGGAATGGATTCCCCAAGGGCTAAAAATTTAAGTTTTTGTCCTTTCATTCATTTGTTAATAACAATAAAGATTCCAACTGTATGTTAGGTGCTTTTTTCCTAATGATGGAAACATAAAAACATGTCAGATATTCATATATTTTTGCCTTTTTAGGAACCTACAATCTTACTGAAAATACACATTATTCAGATAAGTACTAAGATGTAAGTTAACCAAGCGCAAACAAGACTGGGTATAAGCTAGTGCTGAAATTTCTGCTGAATGTGCTGATGATTGATTTCATTTCTTATGTCATTTTTGGGCCGAGAATTTTTTCAATTTTATTCTATTTTATCTGTACAATATGACTTTGAGAAATGTGGTACAACCTGAGGCAGAAGGAGTGGTTACCTGTCCCAGCTTATCAATGTGAAAGATTGGATAAAATCCATTATTTTTGTTTTTTCATGTCCTGGCATTCTAGATTTGTAAAAGATATTGATAGTGAATGGGAGTCAGAGGAGAAAAGTAGCAGATGAGAGTGGGACATGATTTGAAAGTTTTGGCCACATTCTCTTTTCTTTTAATAATTGTAGCTCATGCAGGATGAGAACTCCTAAACCAAAAATCTAATATCCAAACTACTCCCAAATCGGAATCTTTTTGAGTGCTGACATGAGACTGTGTCACTCTTGCTTTCTGATGGTTCAGTGTACACAAACTTTCTCCTTTACACAAAATTATTTTAAAATATGGCATAAAATTACCTTCAGGCTATGTGTATAAGGTATACATAGAACATAAGTTAATTTTGTCTCCACTCTTGGGTTCCATTCCCAGGACATCTCCTTATACATATGCAAATATTTCAAAGTGTGAGAAAAATCTGCAATCTGCAACACATCTGGTCCCAAGCATTTTGGATAAGGAATCCTCAACCTGTATTAATGAATGCTTACATCTGTCATGTGCTCCTCTAAGACATTTACACCTATCATTTAAATATGTTTTTAAACTTGAAGTATACAAAAATGTTTATTTACAACAAATATGTTGGATATACATTTTGTAAAATGCTTTAAAATATTACCAGTGCTTTTGAAACACAGCTTATCTCTCTGTGATCATGTAACCTTTCAGGCCAATTTTGTAGGTAATCATTATTCCAGTATTGCTGTGCTTTATAATAGATTTTTATATGTGTGTTTAAATTACTCATAATAGGATTCATGAAGTCATTCCCTGTGATCTACTTTGTTCATTCAACATTCTATTTGTGAGACTCATCAATGCTACTTCCTGTAGTTTTGGTTATAAATTCCATTTTCAGTGTGCATGCAGGGAGCGGTTTTATATTACAAATAAAGTTGCTATGCTCATTTTTGCTAATATGAGAAATTTGTTGTTTTCTTTTGTTTCCTGATCATTCCTCTTACAAAAGGGTTAATTATTATTACAAAAGTGTAAAGTCAGTTTAGCAACTACAGTGGATTACACATGCTGTCTGACAATATTTCAGAACTGCTTTATTTCTTTTTTTAATAAAATTTTGTCCACTCAATGTCTCCTTTCCATCATCTAACTCAGTAACTTCTCAATTTCTGAACATGATTTTCATGGTTTCTGTGTTATATTGCTCTGGGAATGTGCACAGTATCACACTGTCATGAATTATGACCAGGATTTTCATAAGTTCTGTGTTATATTGCTCTGGACATGTGCACAGTATCACAGTGTCATGAAATCTGATGACTCCTCTTCCAGATGTAATAAGGTTAATGTATAAAAAGACACTGGAAAAAACTAAATGTATGCACGATCTTTTTACAAAATGATGGAGTTAATTACAACAGATACAATGTGGATTAGATAAAATAAATAAAAATAGAAGCATGATATTACAACTAAGGAAAATAAATACTTGGAAGGCTATGTCTAGAGTTCAAAATGTTGTACATCATTATGTGAACACTCTTGAGATGTTGATAGATATTCTGAAAAAAATTGAAATCAATATGTCATAGTTTCAGATCCATTCTGAAAAAGCTGCTTTTTATTTTCCTCCTAGTACAGTGCTGCAACTCAAATGTCCTGCTGTGTTTGGCAGTGAATAGTCCTGCACAAATTAGAGTTGCAAAAAATATTTCACCACAAACCCATTTTTATAAGAATACAAACACATCTTGGATAGCTTACACTGAGCTTCAGAATTTGGTCTCATATTCTTAGTGCCTAAAAGTAAGCACAATCTGTCATATGTATCTTACTAACTTCGAAGAAATCTCTAATTTTCTCACAAGTAACAACTATTTCTCTTTCTAGAATTTTATTGAATAAATATTCATATGAATCTTAATATAGAAGGTACAAGGCAATGTAGTGCTCAATATTTTCAATTTTATCACTTATAAATTGTTATAAATTTGTGATATATCTTGCCACAGTCTCTGTGACAGGACAAACTCAATGAAGACAATTTTAACACATGGGTATGAAGGGAATTTTGAGGCAATGAAGGGAGGTGAAAAAATACAACACAAATAAGAGTGAGTTTATATAAATTCAGCCTAAGCTAATGTAACTGAGAAAAGTCAGAGGGATATGTGGATTTACATTCGTTATTCAATTGTTTTAATGCTTCATCATTCAGTGGAGTTTAAAACATATGTGGTAAAAATGTCTAAATGATCGAGTAGAATTATTCAACATTTTATTTCAATTTAGTGACTGGGAAGGAATGATTCTCAAATGTAAAGAACACTTTGCCAACTTAAAAAGAAACATAGGAACAAGCTAACTTGACCAGATAGCTTCCTTCTTGGAGTAATATTGCAGACCTACTTAAAGAAAAATTATGATGGAAATTTGAGTCAATACAGTTTTGTTTGCATAAATTAGTGTATTACAACAGTTGACAAGATCAAGGCAACTGGGAATACTATGGTATGATGCTCACAATAGGTGGTTCCATAAAGTAAGTTGAGATGAGTTATTTTCCTGAAGTGAATTCAGCCAATACGTACTGGGAATTATTGAGGCAATATAAAGTCTTTTCTCCTGATTGACCTTAAAAGCGCACCTCCTCCTGAGGACAAAACAAGGGAACTCTGTGGTAGGAAACCCTCAACACTAAAGATCCCAGAGATGCCCATTTCTCATTCTGAAGACATTGACTGGACCTGGATCTGAGCTACCACTAATCAGCTTTATCCAACTTCTTGATAACTATTTGTTTTAAAACCCGAATGGAGGAAAGTTGCATCCTGTTTCTCTCTTCATACTGATTGAGAAAAATGATTTGTTTTTCTTTTAAAAATTGCTATTCTATTTCATGAGAGTCCCATAAGGAGGTTCCCTCTCTATCTTCCCAGCACTGAAGAGATATTTTTTGGTAGGTTTGTATTCTCAGGTCACAGTTGTTGTTGAATTAAAATTTAAACTACTTTTGAGTATTTTTTTTCTTTCTTACCCACAATATTATTCACAATTTATTTAAATAAATAAAACTCAAAAAAGTATACTTTACTACCTCATATTTAAAAAATTGTATTTCAACCCATCAGGCCGAATTCAAGATTCCATCTCCTCTGCAGATTTCTTCTAACTCCTTTGTTGCTCCTAGATTATTCAGCTTCCATTATTGCTGATTTTAGTCCCTTCAGTAAAATGTGATGCATGAATAAGCATAAAAAGTGCATTTCTGTCAAATGAGTCTACTCAACAGGCTTGTCTTTCTGTTTATGACATCATTTTTTATTGTCTGGAATAATTTTCCTTCACAAATTGGCTTTGCTGATACATGTAGAATTATCTCATAGAATAAAATCTAAATGCCACAACATGCAAGAAATATAACTCTAAATTAGAAAACCCTATGTTTTCCCAAAATCTTCTAATTATTGCATATCATTTTGTGGAATGCATATATGGATAAACCTTTCCTGTGATCTGGTCTCTTTCTCACTTCCTCAGAGTCTTTGCGAAATGCCACTAGACATGTGAGGTTTCCCTTGACTACGCTGCTCAAAGTTGAACGTGCTCTTGCAATTCGAACACCTTTCTTTGACTTGCTTTTCTCTGAAGCGTTTATCCTCTTGTGACATAAAGTGGGTTATATGTCATCATCTGGCCTCACTCCCTGTGACCTGTGTGGGCACGGGCCTTCTTTGTTCTGATTATTGTGGTAGCCCCAGTGCTCAACACATAGCCAGGCTTCATAAGCATGTTTCGAAAGCATGCATCTCATGCTTTTCTGAAATTCCGTTTTTCTTTGTACTTATTCTTCAGAGGAGATATTGGGTGTATTAGTTCCCTAGGAATGAGAATACAGAGTATCACAAACTGGTTACCTAAAACAACAGAAATTTGTTCTCTCACAGTTCTGCAGGCTAGAAATCTGAAATCAAGTTGTCAGCAGGGTTGGTTATTTCTGAAGGCTCTAAGAGGAGGAATCTTTCCCATTACTTTCTCCCAGGTTCTTGTGATAACTAACAGTTTTTGGCATTTCTTGGTTTGCAGATGCACCACTCCAATCCCTGCCTCCCCCATCACATGGTATCCTCAGTGCCTCAGTCTTCACATGGCCGCCCTCTGATCAGAACATGAGTCATATTGGATTAGAGAGGCGCGCTCTGCTCCAATATGACCTCACCTTAACTAATTACAGTCTTTATGTTTTTCCAAACAAGCTCACATCCTGAATATCCTTTTGACAAAAAAAATATAATTCAATCCATAACACAGGGCTATAGAAAAAAGGGCCTAGGTTTTAGATTTGAATAATTGAAAATCCTTTCGGTGTATCCACTTAGTGTATAGAAAACTCACTATGAGGAGTAGATCAAATACTCTAAACTGTAAAGTAATAGGCAACCAAACAGTTTCTGTTAACACTGGTAGAAAAGTGCCTACTATAATGTGAACAAAGACACAAATTTACTTTCAATTTCTACTATTGTGTTGGTCACATGCTGACTAAAGCTGAATTGCTGTATCAACGTATCTGTAAAAGACTTCTGATTTCTAAGGAAGTATCTGTTTGCTTTGGAGACATATTCTTTTTGGAAAAACTCCATCAATAATGTATTGAATATTGTTATTCTAATATTTCAGTTGAGAAAAAGGACACTCGGAAGAGAAACTTAGGACAGGCTCCATAATTTTATCAGTGAGGCAGTGCTGAAAGAACACATTTTGTTCTGATTCTATACTTTTTGAACTTTTAGTTTCTTACTTCTGGTCATACTGTATTGATCACTGACCTGCAAAATTTACCAAAATCACATGCTTTATAAGGTACTGGGTAAAGTTTTACCAAATCAATGAACTGGTTTTGTGTTACTAGGTAAAAAACATATTCATCATGGCATGGGAGAATCAGACCTTCAACTCTGACTTCATCCTCCTGGGAATCTTCAATCACAGCCCCACCCACACCTTCCTCTTCTTTCTGGTCCTGGCCATCTTTTCAGTGGCCTTCATGGGAAACTCTGTCATGGTTCTCCTCATCTACCTGGACACCCAGCTCCACACCCCCATGTACTTCCTCCTCAGTCAACTGTTCCTCATGGACCTCATGCTCATCTGCTCTACCGTACCCAAGATGGCCTTCAACTACTTGTCTGGCAGCAAGTCCATTTCTATGGCTGGTTGTGCCACACAAATTTTCTTCTATGTATCACTGCTTGGCTCCGAATGCTTTCTGTTGGCTGTTATGTCTTATGACCGCTATATTGCCATTTGCCACCCTCTAAGATACACCAATCTCATGAGACCCAAAATTTGTGGACTTATGACTGCCTTCTCCTGGATCCTGGGCTCTATGGATGCAATCATTGATGCTGTAGCGACATTTTCCTTCTCCTACTGTGGGTCTCGGGAAATAGCCCACTTCTTCTGTGACTTCCCTTCCCTACTAATCCTCTCATGCAATGACACATCAATATTTGAAAAGGTTCTTTTCATCTGCTGTATAGTAATGATTGTTTTTCCTGTTGCAATCATCATCGCTTCCTATGCTCGAGTTATTCTGGCTGTCATTCACATGGGATCTGGAGAGGGTCGTCGCAAAGCTTTTACTACCTGTTCCTCTCACCTCATGGTGGTGGGAATGTACTATGGAGCAGGTTTGTTCATGTACATACGGCCCACATCTGATCGCTCCCCTATGCAGGACAAGCTGGTGTCTGTATTCTACACCATCCTCACTCCCATGCTGAATCCCCTCATCTACAGCCTCCGCAACAAGGAGGTGACCAGAGCACTCAGGAAAGTGTTAGGAAAGGGCAAGTGTGGAGAGTGAGTACTTTGTAAACTTTATGCTTTGCTGTCTGCTAAATTCTTTTAACTGTCCCTTTTTTTCCATTAAGTCCTCAAAATAGCTTTCATTTTGTACATAAACGGGCACCTATATAATCTATTTCAGATAAACTATTTTAAATATTTCTTGTTTTATATTCAATTCAGTTGTTACTACAATATAAGGCATTTTCAATAATGACATTAAAGTTTTTTAAATTTTTTTATTTAAATAGGTTTTTGGGGAACAGATGGTGTTTGGTAACATGAATAAGTTCTTTGGTGATTTCTGAGATTTTTGTTCACCCATCACCCAAGCAGTGTTCGCTGTACTCAATGTGTATTCTTTAATCCCTCTTCACCCCCACCTTTTCTCCAGGTCCCCAAAGTCCAATGTATCATTCTTATGCCTTGGTGTCTCATAGCCTGGCTCCCAGATATGAGTGAGAATATTCAATGTCTGGTTTTCCATTTCTTCATTTCTTCACTTAGAATAATAGTCTCCTATTCTATCTTGGTTTCTGCAAAATGCTAATATTTTTTCCATTTTTTGGCTGATAGTATTCCATGGTGTATATATATATATATGCCGCCTTTTCTTTATTCACTTGTTGATTGATGAGCTTTTGGGTTGGTTCCATATTTTTGCAATTGCAAATTTTGGTGCTATAATCATGTGTGTGCAAATACTTTTTTTGTATAATGACTTCTTTTCCTTTGGGTATACACCTAGTAGTGGTGTTTCTGGATCAAATGGTAAATCTACCTTTAGTTGTTTATGGAATCTTCACAGTGTTTTCCATCTTCACAGTGTTTTCCATAGTGGTTGTACTAGTTTACATTCCCACCAAGAGTGTAAAAGTGTTCCCTTTTCAGCACATCCTGCCAACATTTTTTTTTGTTTGATTTTGGCCATTCTTGCAGGACTGAGGTGGTATCACATTGTGGTTTTCATTTGCATTTCCCTGATAATTAGTTATGTCCAGCATTTTTCCATATGCTTGTTGGCCATTTGTATATCTTCTTTTGAGAATGGTCTATTCATGTCCCTTAGCCCACTATTTGATGGAATTTTTTTTCTTGCTGATTTGTTGGAGTTCTTTGTAGATTCTGGAAATTATTCCTTCATCAAATGAATAGACTGTGAAGATTTTCTCCCACTCTGTGTGTTGTCTGTAACTCTCCTGATTATATCTTTTGCTGTGCTGAAGCTTTTTAGTTTAATTAAGTCACATCTAATTATTTTTGTTTTTGTCACATTTGCTTTTGGGTTCTTGGTCATGAAGTCTTTTCCTAAGCCAATGTCTACGAGGGTGTTTCCGATGTAATCTTCTATAATATTTATGGCATCAGGCCTTAGGTGTAAGTCCTTAATCCATCTTGAGTTGATTTTTGTATATGGTGAGAGATGAGGATCCACTTTCATTCTCCTACATGTGGCTTTTCAATTATTCCAGCACCATTTGTTGAATACCTTGTCCTTTCCCCACTTTATGTTTTGGTTTGCCTTGTTGAAGAACAGTTGGCTGTATTTGACTTTATTTCTGGGTTCTCTATTGAGTTTCATTGATCTATGTGCTTATTTTTATACCAGCACCATGTTGTTTTGATGACTATGGCTTTATAGTATAGTCTGAAGTCAGTTATTATGATGTCTCCAGATTTGTTCTTTTGCTTAGTGTTGCTTTGGCTATGCAGGCTCTTTTTTGGCTCTATATTCATTTCAGGATTGTTTCTTCTAGTTCTGTGAAGATTGATGGTGGCATTTTGATGGGAATTTCATGGAATTTATAGATTGCTTTTGGAAGTATTGTCATTTTCACACTACTGATTCCACCATCCCTGGGCATGAGATGTGTTTCCATTTGTGTGTATTGTCAATAATTTCTTTCAGCCATGTTTTGTAATGTTCACTGTAGAGGTCTTTCACGTCCCTGGTTAGGTATATTCCTAAGGTTTTTTGTTCTTGTTGTTATTGTTGTTTTTGCAGCTATTGTAAAAGGGATTGAGTTCCTGATTTGATTCTCAGCTTGTTCGCTGTTGGTGTACAGCAGAACTACTGATTTGTGTACATTAATTTGGTATCCTGAAACTTTGCTGAATTTATTTACCAGTTCTAGGAGCTTTTTGGATGCGTCTTTAGGGTTTTCTAGGTATACAATTATATCATCAGCAAACAGCAACAGTTCTACTTTCTTTTAACCAATTTGAATGCCCTTTATATCTTTCTCTTGTCTGATTGCTCTAGGTAGGACTTTCAGTACTATGTTGAATAGAAGTGGTGAAAATGGGCATCCTTTTCTTGTTCTAGTTCTCAGGGGAAATGCTTTTAACTTTTTTCCATTTGGTATAATGTTGGCTGTGAATTTGTCGTAGATAGCTTTGATTATCTTAAGTATGTCCCTTCTATGCTAATTTTGCTTAGGGTGTTAATTGTAAAGGGATGCTGCATTGTGTCAATTTTTTTGTGTGTGTCTATTGAGATAGATGATCATGTGATGTTTGTTTTTAATTCTGTTTACATGGTGTATCATATTTATTGACTTACTTATGTTAAGCCATCCCTCCATTCCTGGTATGAAACCTACTTGATCATGGTGGATTATCTTTTTGACATGCTGTTGGATTCAGTTTGGCCGTATTTTTGAGGATTTTTGCATCTATATTCATCAGGGATATTCATCTGTAGTTTTCTGTTTTTTGTTGTGTGCACCCCTGCTTTTGGTATTAGGGTGATAGTGACTTTATAGAATAATTTAGAGAGGATTCCCTCTTTATCTTTTGGAATAGTGTCAATAGGATTGGTACTAATTCTTCTTTGAATGTCTGATAGAATTCAGCTGTGAATCAGGTCCTGGACTTTTTTTGTGTAGGCAGTTTTTTTTTTTTTTAATTACCATTTCAGTCTCGCTGCTTGTTATTGGTCTGTTCAGAGATTCTATATCTTCTTTGTTTTAGATAGAATGGTTATATATTTCCAGGAATTTATCCATCTCCTCTAGGTTTCCCAGTTTATTCACATTAAGGTGTTTATAGTAGCCTTGAATACTCTTTTGTATTTCTGTGGAATCAGTTGTTATATCTCCCATTTCATTTCTAATTGAGCTTATTTGGATCTTCTCTCTTTTTCTTGGTTAATTTTACTAATGGTCTATAAATTTTATTTATCTTTTCAAATAACCAGCTGTTTGTTTCATTTCTCTTTTGTATTGTCTTTTGGTTTCAATTTCATTTAGTTCTGCTCTGATCTTTGTTATTTCTTTTCTTCTGCTGGGTTTGGGTTTGGATTGTTCTTGTATCCCCAGTTCCATGAGATGTGACTTTAGATTGTCTATTTGTGCTCTGTCAGACTTTTTGATGTAGGCATTTAATGGTATGAACTTTCCTCTTAGCATTGCTTTTGCTGTATTGCAGAGGTTTAGATAGGTTGTGTCACTATTATCATTCAAGTTAAATAATTTTTAGTTTCCACCTCTATTTCATTGTTGACTCAATGATCTTTCAGGAGCAGGTTATTTAATTTCCATATATTTGCATGTTTTTGAGTGTTCTTTTGGGAGTTGATTCCAATTTTATTCCACTGTGTTCTGTGAGAGTACTTGATATAATTTCTATTTTCTTAAATTTACTGAGATTGCTTTGTATCCTGTCATATGGTCTTAGAGAACGTTCCATGTGCTGATGAATAGAATGTATATTCTACAGTTGTTGGGTAGAATATTCTGTATATAGGCTGGGCATGGTGGCTCACACCTATAATACCAACATTTTGGGAGGCCAAGTTGGGCAGGTCAGCTGAGGTTAGGCTTTCGAGAACAGCCTGGACAACATGGAGAAACCTCATCTCCATAAACATAAAAATAGCCAGGTGTGGTGGCAGGCACCTGTAATCCCAGCTACTCAGGAGGCTGAGGCAGAATAATCACTTGAAACCCAGAGGTGGAGTTTGTAGTGAGCTGAGATCATGCCATTGCACTCCAGCCTGGTGACAAGAGCAGAACTGCATCTCAAAGAAATAAAAAAAGAATGCTGTGTAAATATCTGTTAAGCCCATTTGTTGTGGGGTATGGTTTCAGTACATAGTTGACTTTCTGTTTTGATGACCTGCATAGTGTTCTCAGTGGAGTATTAAAATCTGCCATTATTTTTTATAAGAATTTTTTATTATATTTATTTTATATATATATATTTTTATTATACTTTAAGTTCTAGGGTACATCGAACACCGCATGTTCTCACTCATAGATGGGAATTGAACAATGAGAACACTTGGACACAGGAAGGGGAACATCGAACACCGCCACTATTTTTGTGTTGTCATCTATCTCATTTCTTAGGTCTAGTAGGAATCGTTTTATAAATTTGGGAGTTCCACTGTTAGGGGCATATATATTTGTGATTGTGATATTTTCCTGTTGGCGTAGTCCTTTTATCATTATATAATGTCCCCTTTTGTCTTTTTTAACTACTGTTGCTTTAAAGTTTTTTTTTCTGATATAATAATAGCTACTCATGCTCACTTTTGTTGTCCATTTGCATGGAATATCTTCTTCCACCACTTTAAGTTTATGTAAGTCCTTATGTGTTAGGTGAGTCTCTTGAAGATGCAGAAACATCTTTGGTTAATTCTTAACCATTCTGCCATTCTGTATCTTTTATGTGGAACACTGAGACCACTAACATCTGTGTCAGTATTGAGATGTGAGGTACTATTCTATACATCGTGGTATTTGTTGCCTGAATACCTTGGTTTTTTTTTTCATTCTGTTATTGTTATATAGATCCTGTGAGATTTATGTTTTAAGGAGGTTCTATTTTGGTGTATTCTAAGAATTTGTTTCAAAATTTAGAGCTCTTTTTAGCAGTTCTTATAATGCTGGCTTGGTAGTGTTGAATTGTCTCAGCATTTGTTTGTCTGGAAAAGACTGTCTCGTTCTTTCATTTATAAAGGTTAGTTCCATTGAATACAAAATTCTTGGCTGATAACTGTTTTGTGTAAAGAGGCTGAAAATAGGTCCACAATTCCTTCTAGCTTGTAAGGTTTTTCATGAGAAATCTGCTGTTAATCTGGTATGGTTTTCTTTATAGATTACCTGCTGCTTTTGTCTCATAGCTCATAAGATTCTTTCCTTCATCTTGACTTTAGATAACCTGTTGATTAGGTGCCAGGTGATGAGATCTTTTGCAATGAGTTTCCCAGGTTTTCTTGGAGCTTCTTGTGTTTGGATGTCTAGATCTCTAGCAAGGCTGGGGATGTTTTCTTCAATTATTCCCTCAAATACGTTTTCCAAACTTTTAGATGTCTCATCTTATCAGGAACATCAATTATTCTCAGGTTTGGACACGTAACATAGTCGCAAATTTCTTGGAGGCTTTGTTCATTTTTAAAAATTCTTTTTCTTTGTCTTGGATGGATTGAGTTAATTCAAAAACCTAGCCTTCAATCTCTGAGGTTCTTTCTTCTGCTTGTTCGATTCTATTGGTCATGCTTTCCAGTGCATTTTGCATTTCTCTCATTGTTTCCTTGATTTCCAGAAGTTGTGATTGTTTTTTATTTATGTCATCTATTTCATTGGAGAAATTTCTTTTCAGCTCCTGTATTGTGTTTTTGATTTCTTTAAGTTGGACTTCACCTTTCTCTGGTTCCACCTTGATTAGCTTAATAATCAACCTTCTGAATGCTTTTTCTGGCAATCCAGAGATTTCATCTTGGTTTGGATCCATTGTTGGTGAGCTGGTGTGATCTTTTGGGGTATGAATGAACCTTGTTTTGGCATATTACCAGAATTGTTTTTTGTTTCCTTCTCATTGGGTAGACTTGTCAGAAGGAAGAGCTGAGATTCAAGGGCTGCTATTCAGATTTTTTTGTCCCACTGTGTGTTCCCTTGAGGTGGTGTTCTCCCCCCTCCCCTAGGAATGAGGCTTCCTGAAAGCCAAACTGTATTGGTTTTTATGCTCTTCTGGGTCTAGCCACACAACAAAGCTACCAGACTCTTGGCGGGTACTGGGGAATGTCGGCAAAGAGTCCTGTGATGGGATCCCTCTAAAGGTGTTGCAGCAGTGAATACTAGCACCTGCTCAGGTGGAGGCAGCAGGGGATTTAAGTGGACTTTGTAAGGGTCCTTGGGTCCTTTTTGTGTTGGTTGTGGTTGGCCTCCAGCCAGGAGGTGGCGCTTTCCAGAGTGCATCAGCAGTGGCCCTGTAGGGAGGATGCAAACTTGCCGTACCTACAACTGGTCAAGTATTCAGGTTTCTAAGGTGGTGGGCAGGGCCATAGAGCTTACAAGAGATTATGACCTTTGTCTTCAGCTACAAAGGTTGGTAGATAAATACCACCAGGTGGGGGCAAGTATAGGTGTGTCTGAGCTCAGCCTCGCCTTGGTTGGGCCTTGCTGCTCCTGCTGCTGTAAGGGATGGGGGTGTGGTTTCCAGTCTAATGGAGTTATATTCCCAGGAGGACTATGGCTGTCTCTGCTGCAGCACAGAGGTTACCAGAGAAGTAGCAGAAAGCCAGCCTTCACAGGCCTCACTCAGCTCCCACACAGCCTGCAGTTCTGAAGGCCAATCTCACTTCCCTGTTGCCCCCACAACAGCAACAAGTCTATTTGCAGGCAGCTGGTGACCAGGGCTGACAACTTGCCCCAGACCATGGGCCTGTCTTTTGAGAAAGCAAACAGGCTCACAAGTTCTGAGCGTCTCAGGGAGCCTGCATCAGTGATCCAGTTCCTTCAAAGGGTCTCTGGATTCTCTCAGCTTTCCTGGTATGTTCCTGTAGTAGTTCTTGGTGCAAACATTCACAATGTGAGTTTCCACACGCTACTCTGTCCATCTGAGTGGGAGCTGAAAGCTAGTCCTCCCTCCTATCCATCATCTAAATCAAGATGTTAAAGTTCCATGTTTTTTCAGTATTATAAACTGCATTGTATGCAGCCAGGTAGCAAAGAAATCTTCTTTTCCAAAGGTATAAACTCAAAATTTTATTGAACGTCTTGAAATTCACTTTGAAATAAAAGTTAATACAACGATTTTTACATATTTAGTCAGTGTTTCTTCTTGATTTTTTTATTTTTGGTGGCTCTTGGAAGATACTGCCGTAACTTCAACCCAGACGACATCTTAATTTTTCACCTCTAATTGCTTCCATCCCAAAAATTTAACTTTTATTATGGGATACCAGATCCAACTCTCTTTCAGGTTGTTAAAATTAATCAAATCTTCATGCACTGATCCAACAAAGAAATAGTTTTGTTATTTAGATTCCCAGTGAATAGATAATTTACAAGTGCCCCTAAATTACACACTGATACTTAAATATTTTAGTAATGATTATTGGACTTACATTGAAATTCACAATATAAGTAAACTTTTCTGGATTTTCAAATGTAAATATCTTTTTACATAATAGTAAGAATAAAATTTTTGTAACTCTGTTGCTGTCACATTCCCAATAATGAAAAATCATTTAATCTTAGTTGGACTGACTTTATTTGTCTTATTGATTCATAGGTGAAGCAAATTTTTCTATAATTGGTAAATGCTTCAGTGGTTCTGCTTATTGAAAAGGATTAGAGTGTTTGGAATATATTTCCAGTCCTTGAAGTTGTTTTAAAGAAAATCATATCAGGCATATGGATTAAATGGCCAAAGACATACATCCACAGTGGCTCAAAGTAATAGACTAAGAAAATAACATTTAGACTTTATTCTGTGAATATAATAGATGTTCCTTACCTTGA